>NC_000020.11:6581486-6733001 GCF_000001405.40 Homo sapiens
GATGTTTGCCAGAGAAAGGTCGGAGTTGGGCTCTCTAAAAGGCAGGACCCAGGGCAAAGATCTACCCTGGTAAAGGGTTGGTACTGGCACCAACTTACTAAAGAGTTTCTGGGCTTCCAGTGTCTTCCTTCTTCCCACTGAAGATATCTATGTTGGATCAAATCAAATCTGTTTATGACACCTATCATGCTCTAAAATAAACACAGCTTCTCTGCCAAGCCTTCTACAAGAACCAAACATGGCTTTCAAAATCATTTCCTTCCCATACCTGAGCATTCTGTGACCGGTAGACAGAATCTTAAAAGAGAAGACCCTGGGAGCAAAGAGACATAAACAGAGTAGCTGCTGTGCCTTCTGAGAATGAGGGGTCATCTGCTATTCCCTCAGGGTACTCAGCTCAGCTTTCCTGGTTTTGTTCCATTTTGTGAGAAGAAGTAATTATATACCATATTTAAAATAAGTGCTATTAACATCTATAAGCACAAGAGAAGTTACGAGTTTGCAATTTTAAATGTGGTAGGCTTAATGAGAAAATGACATTTGAACAAAGACTTGAAGGAGATGAGGTATTTACCTATGTAGATATCTGGAGGAACCTTCCAGACAGGGGAAACAGCCAGTGCAAAGGCCCTGTGGTAGGTGCTCTTCTGGCTACAGGAAGAGGGGGGATGTCAGTGTACCTGGAACTGAGCAAGCAATGGGAAGAACAAGGGGAAGAGATAGTAACCAGATTGCACGGAGCAGCACCTCTTAAATTACAGAACTTTCACTCATTAGTGAGTGAGATAGAAGAGGGGGCTTTGGAAAGTCTTGAAACCAGAAGTTGTCATAGAATGACGGTGGCTATCATTGGTGAGAATAGCTAAGACTAGAAGCAGAAAGACCAGTTATAAGGCTATTGCAGCAGTCTAGGCAAGAGATGATGGTGGCACAGGCCAGCAAGGTACCAGTGTGGGTGGAAGGAAATTATACAAATCTGGATATATATTGAAGAAAGGTTCAATGGGATTTCCTGGCTTTCTTCATTTTTGGAATAATGTAGCTACTCTGGCATTAGTCCAAGTCACTAGTAGTCATTGAAGAACAAAGAATAACTGGTGGAAACAGCTTCCTCCAGTGAATGTTATTGATAAGGGATCAATGTGAGGCACAGGTCTTAATCTCTTGTTCCACCTCCAATCCTGGCGATCTTTCCCTCTCATGACTCATGCTCAAAATTTGTCCAGTTCCTCTCTATACGTCTCATTCATAAATGATGTTGGTCACCACCTTCTCATTCAGCCACTGTCAATACTTCTGAAACCAATTGGAATGTAAGTAAATACATGCATTCCTAGGTAGGTAGGTAGGTAGGTAGGTAGGTAGGTAGGTAGGTAGATAGATAGGTAGATGCATAGATTCCCAAGCAACCAAAAATATAGATACAATGGTCTCTGCATTTGATTATGTGCTTGCTTGTTTGAAAGTGTAATATCAATCAATGCATCACGAATTGAGCCAAAGGTTTAGTGTTGGTGTTACTTAGTAGCGACAGCAAGCAATTTGCTCAAATCTCTTGGGCTTCTGTTTTTCCCTTGAAAAATGAAGTGAGTGGGAACGGTGCCCCTTAAGTACCAGTTAAGTTTACACATCACGTTTTCTGCTTCCACCATGCCCCTGCACCTTTATTTTCTTTCATCTTTCCAGTGATCCCCCCTAATTAGGAGCTCTGCTTATAAATGGTATCTTTTGTCTCTTTCAGTTACTTTCTTCCTCCCTGGTTTAATGAGCTTTCTCCACAGTGTGCCTTTTTCTCCCAGTAGATGGCAGTATTCAGTTTTGTTTCCTGATGCTACTTTGCCCTGTTGGAAGGCCTGGGCCAGCTGCCCTTTCTGCAAAGCCTATGTCCTTTTAGCACTAGAGGTGATCACAGAAGAGGAAATTAAGGGAGGAACTGATGAGTGTTGAAAGGCTCCCATGAAAACCGTGGCGATGCCAAGTAGCCTCCTCCTGTTTTCAAGCAGGTTTATTTTATTTAACTTTCGGGTTAGTGATAAAAACAACGGTCTTCCACATGTCAAAGTGTTGTCCCAACTCATCTGATCTTTCTACTCTGTGACGCAGTTAGTACAGATTTCATTGACCTCAGGTCTTGATCCCAGGAGTTATAATGGGATGGCTGCTGTTGTTGAGGATATTCAGGGTTAGAAGCAGGAAGACCAGTTAGGAGGCTGTGGCAGTGGTCCAGGCAAGAGACCGTGGAGCTACCAGCCGGGAGCACTGCAGGTGGGGGATGTGGTGTGGAGACGGATGGTAGTGGAACAAGCTCTGAGCTTGCTACCTGGAGAACCAGAGTCTCCTCTGGCACTGTTATTTCACTAATCTTGGCAACACTCTCAATTTCTCTGGGCCTCTGAAGACACCCCCTGTTCTAGGATTCTGTGGAATCATGAAGGAAATCAATCCACATGTAGCTTGCAAGTCACCTGACAAGGGACACATCACTCACCGGTTAATGGTGCATTGAGAGCCAGAAGCCATATCTTTAGTAGGGGCTTCACCTTACCACTAACTGAAGATGGTGTGAAAACATCCATTTCCGCAGTCCAGTTTCTTGTCTTTCCAGAAGAAATCTCATCTAGGAAAACAATATGTGTAACAAATCAAAGCAAACTGCTCCGGTTGAAAGGGGATAGAATCCTGCACCTCCTGGCCCCCACCTTCCCACTGACTGCAAGTAGCAAGTAAAGACCTCCAACAGAGAGGAGCAAAACCCCTGCCAATGTGACTTCAAATCTTCAAGTGCCGTGCCTTGACCTATGTTAATCAAGGAATTCTGGGATCACTAATATCAGTTTTTTCTTGAACTCCTCGGGAAAATTTTGCAGGGAGGAGAATAATATAATAAGAGTATGGAGGAATTTTTGTGTTTGGGAGTGGGATATATTGGGGCGGATGGTGTCACACAATAACTTTAAAACATTTTATGGTTCTTAATTGCCTATAAGATCAAATTTAGACTTGTTAGCATAGATAAAGGAGTTTCATAATCTGCCCCCATTCCCCCCCTCCAATCCTGGAGGGGATACTATCCTTCTGGTATATCTTTGAAGATGCCACGCACCTTGACACTCCTACTCATTCCAGAAAACACAACTCCAAAACCTTCCTTAAGCAATAGCCCTGACAAGCATTCATAGCGTTTTGTATATACAATTCTTTTACAGTCTGTATCACAGTGTTTGTTTTCCCGCCAGCTTCCCTCTTTGTTTGTTACTTGCTTGAGAATAGGGACCATGTCTTATACATTCTAAACATCAAGCATGATCCAAGAGAAGGTCTTACTGTGCAAAATCAATGAATAACAGGAGGTTTTGGGGGTCATGTTGTAGTGTTAGGATGTGGGAAAATATCATAAGCTAAGGGATGACTTAGAAATGTATTACAGATAATTTAGTCAAATACAGCCACTATGGCCTTACAAAGAAATGTGTGTGTGTGTGTTCGTGTGTGTGTGTGTGTGTGTGTGTGTATATGTGTATATATATATATATATATATACTTGCAATTAATCAAATTGTTTAATGTCTGCCTGCTTAGTAACAAAGAGATTACATAGTTTGTTGTTATTATTGCTTGTAAATGACCTTGCAGAGTTTCTTTACAATCCATTGGGCAAATAGGACTTCAGTAGGAAGGAAATTAATACGCATGAATTCAGCATGCACAATAATTCAACCAATATTGTTTGATGTTAGCATCCTTTTGAAAAGAAAAGGTAAAACAAATTAATTGTGAAAACAGAGTTGTATTAGAAATTCTGATCTATTTTTTAAAATGATCTACTTTATTGCACACAAATAGCATGTTTATATGCAAATAATAATAAATAAGCCTTATTTACATGTACATATTTGATTACTCATTTGTCCATTTAAAATAATGCAATATTTTATATTGAAACTTTTTATTTCTCCAATTGCAGTAAACAAGTTCCTCTTACAGGTTACTCTTATGATCAAGGATAATATAGAGGAAATGAGTTATTGGCTAATGCTAGCCAGGCATTAAAGACCACTACAAGTGTTGTATTTTCTCTTTTTCATTTTTCTGGAGATCCATGTTCATTAATGTATTTTTTTATTCCTTAGAAATATTTTTCGTTTAGCTTTTTAAAGCAACTGTGTCAAACTCCAAAATATTCCCTGTATTAAAAAATATTATATCAATTTAATCCTAAGTATAATTTTCTTAGGGAAGTAATTTAAAAACTTTTCTACAGTCTTAAAATGTGGTGATATTCTATTATGAAATGGAAGGACAATGGGGATTCAGGGCACAGATTGTAGGATCTTGATTGGGTTCAAATTCCAGCCCTACTACTTAGAAGCTGTGTGACTCAGAGCAAGTCACTTTGCCATTCTCTGTCTCATTTTCCTCATCTGCCAAATAGTGGAAATCAATGTACCAGTCTCTCAGGGCTGTTGTGATCATTAAATGAGTTGAGATGTTTAAAGTGCTTAGCTAGAAAAGGTGAGGATACATTCTCCTCCAGAGCCTCAAAAAGGAACCAGTCCTGCTGACACCTTGACTTTGACCCAGCGAAACTGATTTTGGGATTCTGTTCTGCAGAACTGTAAGAGAATAAGTTTGTGTGGTTTTAAGGCACTAAATTTGTGATAATTTGTTACAGCAGCCATGGTAATCTAATATAGAATTTGGTAACAGATTTCCAATATTATCATAAAAATCAATAGAAAAATAAAACTCTGCTTATATAAATTGAACTTGAAATGCATTATTAATAAATCCTATTTGTTTCTAGCAGGTAAAAATTAACTTTTTAAAAATGCGGTAATGTGTATTTTGAAATTGACTTTCTTTACATTGAAGACATAGGCATAGGAGTTCCATATGTTCTGATTGCAATAGAATATGCCATATGGAAGATGATTAAGTCTTCTTGTTTAATTAAAAATAAGAGAAAGTCTTTAAATCCTCTTATCACTACAGGATTTCATCTGATGCCTCTGGAAAACTAAATGGCCCTTTACTTTTTTGTGTTAAGCAGTCTGTTTTCTGGTCACTTTTATTTTCTACTGAGAAGAATTTATCACCTTAGAAAATGAAACAGAAAGGAAGGATGGAAAGAAGGAATGAAGTAGATAAAAAGAAAGAGCTGTAAGAAGGAAGGGAAGGAAGGAAGGAAGGAGAAAGGGAAAGGGGAAAGGAAAGGAAGAAGGAAGGAAGGAAGGAAGGAAGGAAAGAAGGAAGGGACAAGGCCGGTTTATGAGTAAGAACAAACATTACAGCCAATACCAACAATTTACAACTCTACCCCAAAATACATGCAGATTTATAATCTTCTTCCACTAAATCTACAGATGTTTGAAACACTACAAAGGATATAAAACATTAAAAAAACCCCAACATCCTCAAAGCATATGTACACACATGCCCATAACCACTGCTACCATTAAATAATGTTTCAAAAACTACCGCAGGGGGCATGTGGAATTTATAACCTCTCCCTTTTAAGTAATTCCCCTTCTTCATATTTTCTGTTACCTGTACGTAAATTTGGTTCATGATCTGTGTGTAAAGTAGAATTGATTGTTTTATAAGACATACAAAAATAACCTTTCTGGTCCTAAGTATATATAAAGTCTCAAACACATATAAAGGTACTTCAAACTACCAGCAAATAGTTTTTGGTAATGATTTTAATAATATTGTTCAGCTGGCAATACTTATAACTAGGTCATTCACATTTTAATATTCTCACCTTTGTTGCCTGTGTAAATCACCCTCAGAGTATTTGACTGAAGTTGGTACCAACAATCTGGTTGGTGCTTGACATGTCTACTTGGGATAAGGTTCTTGAGATATTTTTCTCAGCTCATAAGCCCCATCAGTTATCTTTGCAAAGTAAAGCATTATTTACAAGGATCAGAAAGTACTACGTATAAATCAACACAGATGTTAAAAACATAACTTTAGATTCATATCCCAGTTCTAGGCAAGTTGAAGAGTTTTCTTTTTTTCTTTTCTTTTGAGACAGGATCTCACTGTTGCCTGGGCTGGAGTGTACTAGTATGATCATGGATCATTGCAGCCTCCACCTCCTGGGCTCAGGTGATCCTCCCATCTAAGCCTCCCAAGTAGCTGGGATTACAGGCATAGGCCACCATGCTTGGCTAAGAACTCTTTTTGAGTCCAATTTTACTAGTTATAAAATTGAGGGGAAATGGCTGTTTATAAAAAACTAATGAAGATTCAATGAGCTCATGTACCTATGATCAGTTTTCAATAAAGGGCATAATCTCCACTGCGGAGTAAACCAACCCCCAGCAGCAGTGACACTCAATGCACGAAACAGAATGATCCAGACAGTGCTGCATTCCTTCTTTGTGGAAAAAAATAGGTGGTTAAGATGGGGGAAAATGTTGCTATCTATAGATAAAATTTCCACATAGATACAGATGCAAAATGGAATAAAACTATTTCTTATGAAGGAACTGCAAGCTAATTATTATACAGTATTCATTGACTCTTTGATATGCATATTCATCATCTCAGAATGCATCAGTGAAAGTTTTCATGGTAGCTAAAAGTAGCCACAATAGAGAGGCTGACTATATTGCACAGAAGTTGTCCCTTTGTTTAAGCCCCCAACTCATACCTCTGTGCTGACCAAGCTGGTCTTCTGTTACGAGAACATTTTATGCTCAATTCTGAGTGTGTATTCACTTTGACTGCTCTCTGTTTTAGCAGGTCCTTGTTCTCTCTCCACTTACAAAATTCTTTCCTATTCCTCATGAGTCCACCTCCTACCCCCAGCTCTTACAGGGAACCTCCCATTATTGCCTTGCCTGTTGATAGTCCCTTTCTCTGAACTGCCGCCCAGTCTGGCATTTGATCAGATTTTGAATGATGTAGATATGAGCCTTTCATAGACCCACTGAACTGGAAGAGGCATTAGAAAGCATCTAGTCCAACCCTCTAATTTTATAGATAAAGAAACTGTACTCCACAGAGTGCGGGCATCCTGCCAAAGATCACTCAGAGAGTGAGTAGGATCCTGGCTTCTTGACTTCTCATCTACAACTCTTCCCACTTCACCACTCAGATATTGTGTTGGTGCCAATGTCTCATACTTTTTGCCCCTCTCTCCTCTTGGTTGTAAAATCCTGTTTCTAATATTTTGATCTTGTCCCTTTTATTAGAGAGTACAGTTAAAAAAAAAGAAAAGAAACGGTTTCTTGATTATTTCCACATAAATGTGTGTCACACTCACCTTAATATAGGAGTTAATTCCTGGTCTTCCTCAATTTGCTGGTAGTTAGGGAAAATGTAGAGAATAGGGTGTCAAACTCCACTGTTTCCAAAATTGTGAATTTTTCATTTTCCCTCCTCACATATTTTACAAATATATGCCTACTTTTACAAGCTGTATACATTGCTGATAAAGTATGCATGAGGAATATACCTATAATTCTCATGCAATATGCATAAATGCCCTAAGGTTTCATTAAGCATTTGCATGTTTAAAATAATCGCCACCTCAATTTGAGGGATATTCTAATAAAAACTGACCTTAACTTAAAAAAAAGTAAATGTCATAAAAGACAAAACCAAAACAAAATAAATTTTAAAAACCATGTTTCAGATTAAAGGATTATCAAAGGAGATAATAAATGCAGTGATGCTGGATTGGGAACTAGAGCAGAGAAAATAAAATATCTGTGAGAGACATTATTTGAACAACTGGCAAAATTTGATTATGAACTGTGAATTTAGATAATAGTATGGTATTAGTGTTAAACTTCTGAGTTTTATTAATTGCACTGTGGTTTAGTAAGGGAATAAGATGATGTTCTTTTTCTTAGGAGATCTATGATGAAGTATTTTAAGGTAAAGGAACATCATATCTACAACCTACTCCCAGTAGTATAGTATAGCATAGTATAGTATAGTTAGGTAAACAAGAGGCGAGAGATATTACATATGATAATACAAGTAGGTCAAGATAAAGAGTTTTTGAAAACTTAAAATTTCTGCTAATCTATATTCAATGTGTTCTGCTCCTTTATAGTCTCAGTATGGTTTCAGGAAGCTCTCAAAGCTGTGAGCTTCATCATTCAGGTCTAGCACAACAGAGGAAGCATACCTGTGCTTCGCACCGATTGGCTTGAACTAGTCACAGGACTAAACTTGAACCAATCACAATGGGCAAGAAAGTGATTTAGCTGATTGGATTAGCTTAAATCATGTGCTCTAATCTTAGAGCTCTGCATGAAGGTTTCATTCCTTGGAACCCCCTGGATACTCGCCCACAAAAAAGAGTAGAGGAAGGACTAGACTGGGTTTTAACTTCTGGTTAAGATGTTAATAATTAGCGTTAGATACTTTATATATGAAGAAACTAGGGTCCAAATTACTTTTGATAATATGCCAATATTATGCAATAAATGGCAGAACTAAGGGTAGAATTTGGGACTTCTGATTCCCATGCCAAGTGCCAGTTCTACCATTGGGTTAGACCAATGGGTCCCAAGTCTGGCTATTCAGAATTATCTAGAGGTCATTTAAAAATACAAATCATCTGGTGCACTTTCAGATTTGTTGATTTAATATAAATCTAGACTCAGACCTAGGAATCTGTAGTTTAAGTAGCTTCCTGGATATGTTGATGCACACTCAGGAATAGTCTAGATAGTACAAAATAGTGCAAAATAAATTTCAAAATCAGACTTTTCCTGAAAATATGAACAAAAGTTTTGAAAGATTCTTAAAGCAAATACAGTAGAGCTTTGGATTATCAGGTTTTTTCATTGTGTCTCCAAGCAAAGTTTTATAAATGCTAACTTTCCAAAAACTTAGGCAAGTTTATTTCAGTAATAATGTTTATGAGTTTATGAGCAATCTGATATGATTTGGCTCAGTGTCCCCACTCAAATCTCATCTTGAATTATACTCCCATAATTCCCATGTGTTGTGGGAGGAACCTGATGGGAGATAATTTGAATCATGGGGGTGGTTTTTCCCACACTGTTCTTGTGGTAGTGAATAAGTCTCACAAGATCTGATGGTTTTATCAGGAGTTTCCGCTTTTGCATCTGCCTCATTTTCCCTTGCCGCCACCATGTAAGAAGTGCCATGATTTTGAGGCCTCCCCAGCCATGTGGAACTGTAAGTCCAATTAAACCTCTTTTTCCTCCTACTCTCAGGCATGTCTTTTTCAGCAGCACGAAAATGGACTAATACATAGTCCTTTTGCTTATTCCAAACAAAGTTGTAGTATGAATTAGAAACATTGATAATATGCTCTTAATTGAGAATACGCCTACAGGGCCACAAACTCAGACATGAAATGTCTGAGTTACTCCATTAATGTCCATCACCTGAGGCTCTGTGACCACAGCCCAGTAGTGCTCTTATCAGATGCTGCCTGGTAATGAGAGTATTTCTGACCTAGTACAAAGAAAGAGCATATAAACATTCAGGGCTCCCACCTCTGAACAGTGCACAGGGAATTTTCACAGGAAACTCCCATGCCTATAAATTCGGTTAACATGTAAAAACCCCACTGTATTAATGGGAGACAGTCAGTAGAATGGAATGCTGATTGACTGGCATATGTGGGACAAAAATTCTGCTCCAAATATAAGCACCTGTAGATGCCCTTCCCCTCTCTCCCCTGCCTTATCTCACTTGACAAAAACTGTTTAGATGAGATGTATTTCCCAGGGCTTATGAATCAGTTGCAGTTAATGGCTCCAGGACAATTGGTGACTTTTATCTTCAGGAAATCCCAGTACTTAGAAAATGACCGTCAGCCGTGACTATCATGCCAAACAACTTTTCTCCCTCTATTTATACCAGGTGATTGAACAAAAAAAGGTAAGGGGTGTGGGGGAGGGCATAGGCTGGAGCTCTTGCCCTGGTCTGCACTATTGAGTCATCACCATAACATGCCAAATTACTCAAATAAGTCTGGTCATGTTCACATTCAGCAGTAAGAAGGATACTCTGTATGACTCGCACGAGGACATGAAATGCCAGCGGGATCCATATAATCAACGTCTTGGCTTGTGCCAAGAAGGGTGGGTGGAGTCGTGTGCCACATGCAAGGAATTCCTAAATGTTTACTCTAATTTGCTGCCTAGTTATATTTGACTTCTGTGGGTTGGCACAGCAACCATTCTATATAATTCTGGCTCTTCTGATTGTTAGAGGAAGAGTCTGGGGCTCTTAAGCTAAAGTTTAAAAAACAGTTGTTTGGAGTCATCGTTCCTTCTCCGTTAGAGTAATTGTTGAGCATAGTGTTGTGGTTACTCCCCAGGTTCCAGAGAAAGATGGGTTTAGATTTCAGTTCTGGTTCTTACTCCGGAAATGTGCCTGACTTCTCCATGTTTCTGCTTCCTTTCTTATTTCCATAATGGGGATAATAACAGTGCCTGCTTCATGAGGATATTGGGAAGACTAAGTTAATGTGCGTTGAGTACTTAGCATGAAACCTGGCATATAGTAAGCACTCAATAAATGTGATTGGGTTAGAAGCAGGTATAATGTATTATTTTGGGTTGGGTATGTGTGGATCTTTCTGGATGGTCTGTTTTTTCAAACCCTCATGTAGAAGTTACCTTCTCTACCCAATAGTCAACAGAAGCCAAGACTCATGAGGTTCATTTTATGCTGTGAACCCATGAAATTGTATGACGTTAAGGGTTGCTCTGGCCCTGTTCAGAAGCTCCACCAATGGCAAAATACCTTTAACAATATGATACTGTATCCTGAAATAAAGACCTGCAAAATACGATTTGACTTCTGTGCTCTGTGAAACCATGCTCAGTGCTTTCTCTCTCCTAGACTCGTGCCTCTCAAACTTGGATGTGCATAGGAATCACCTGGGGTCTTTTTAAGATACAGATTATGATGCAGGAAGTCTGGGTGGAGCTTGAGACTCTGTATTTCTAACAAGCTACTCAGGGATGCAAACTCTGTTCTTCCCTGGACTACACTTTGAATAGTGAGGTTTTGGCTGTTTGGCTGGATCTGATGCAGGGCCCTGATCCCATTACCATGGGGAAGGCAAGAGTCTCTGGCAGAGTGACACTAAACCAGTGCCCATTTTATAGGTAATTTCATGTGTGTGTGGTAGGAACAGAGGGAGGAGATGGAAAATTTAAGAGAGTGGTTTCAACCCCAGCTGCATATTAGAATCACTTGGTGAGCTTTAAAAAAAGTACTCTAGAATCCACATGAACCTATTTGAATGAAAAAACAAAACAAAACTCAAGGTGGGGGGAGCTGGTTCAAGCATTTTAAGAAACACTCCACGTGATCGTAACCTGCAGCCCAAGATGAGTACCACTGTTCTAAAATAGTGGTTCTCCAATGTTAAAATGTCTCAGAATCACCTAGAGGGCTTCTTAAATAAAGACTGCTGATCCCCACACCCAGAATTTCTGATTCAGTAAGTCTGCTGAGAGGCCTGAGAATTTTTTTTTTTTTTTCTTGCTTGCTTGCTTTCTTTTTTTTTTTTTTTTTTTTTAAGAGATAGAGTCTCATTCTTGCCCAAGCTGGCCTTCAACTTCCGGGCTCAAGCAATCCTCTCACTTCAGCCTCCCAGGAAGTTGGGTCTACAGGCATGCACAAGCACACCCAGCAATGCATTTCTAACAAGTCTTTAGGTGAAACTAATGCTGCTGATCTGTGGGCCACACATTCAGAACTACTGAACTATTATATAGAAAGTAATTTATTCATTCATTTATTCAAGTGTTTGCAGAACCCTTACAATGTGGCAGGAAGGATTTTAGATGCTGGGAATATAACAGTGAATAAGGCATGGTTCTTACCAGCTTAGAAATGGGGTGCACCAACTAATAAGCAGGTAGCACTGGACACATTCAGAAATACATAGGAGAGGCACCAATCTCAGGAAGTGATGTCCAGGGGGATACCTTAATGGTAAGTCAGAATTCATCACAAGGTAAGCTATTGTTGGGGGAGCAGCACAGGACAAGAGCGACTAAGGCAGAAGACCACATTCACATGGAGTGCAATCCCAAGTTCGTCTGAGCTCAGCTGTGGAGACTTGGATGCTGGGAAGGGAAGGAGGAAGAGTGGGACTTTTAGACAGGCACAGCTGGAAAGATCAGCAGGAGCCAGATCACGAAGAACATGTACCATTCAAACTTTATCCCAGGGACAGCAGAGCACCAGCGAAAGGTTTTAAGTAGGAAAGAAAATACTATTCTGGCCACAAGATGAAAAATAGAATGTAATTGAGAAAGGGAGACTGGTAGGTGGAAGAAAGGCAAGGCTATTGTCATTTTAAGATGTTTACTTGCAAATTGTCTTAATGGTCTTTTTCTTAGACAACCAGATGTCAATCTGGCATCTTAGTGTTTGAAGTCTGGAATGGGCACAGGAGAGTAGAGTAAGAAGAATGGAGTCTTCCCATGATGGTGGGTGAAGAGGGGTGGGATAGAGTAGCCTCCTCAAGGGATTGATGCTTGGTCCAGAATCAGAGGTGACCATAAGAATTTAGGATTTATCTGAAACCTTATAAGCCATTTCAACAAATATTTAGCAATAAACTTTGTCCAATTCTGTAATCTCAAGAAAGTCATCTGAGCTTAAAAACAATTGGCTGAGATGGATGTGCATTGCAGCTATTTAGGAATGTGGTAATTAGAATATTGAAGGTGTTATCTGCCCATCAGTTGGGCAGTCATGGCCTGTCCTAATGCCAATCTCACTCTCTAGTCAGAACTAATGCTATTTCTGAGCCTCTTCTCAATATAATCAAAGAGATATGGGGCTGAAGGGGTAATGGAGGTTACCTTGTCTTCCTTCGTCATCTCAGGAAGAAATAAGGGCAGTGTACACATCTCCCTAAGTGTGGAAAACTATGACGACACCGGGTCTTTCTGACGTTTGTGTGGATTCACAAACTCCCAAAGCACCATATTATTTTTAAATTAGAAATTTCTGAACAGACAGAGGATTCAGAGCTCTCACAGCTAAATGCTAAGGAAATATTTATTGATGTCAGGATACTTTAAATTATGGCCTTCTCTCTCCTAAAATATTTCCCAGCCGTCAAATTCGCCACCAAAGGAAATCCTTTGGCATTTCTAATGCCCTCTCTACTCCTAGAAGAATTTTGAGCTGCTTTTGGGGACAAAGATGTTCTACTTTTTTTTTTTTTTTAACAATTGGAAAGATAGGTGCATGTGTTGTTTTATTGATTTATTTAGACTATACATACTTGGTTTATACGTTACCTTATTTAGGATTCACAGCAATGCCGTGGGGTAGGTTTTCATCATTTAAATTTTACAAAAGAGAAAATAACATTTGTAAAAGTCTGGCGTTCAAGATGGCACAGGCGGTATGTCAAAACACCAGGGCCAGGTCTGTCTGACATGAAACCTTATCAGTAAGTTTAAAGAATTTAAGGTAAGAAGGTCACTCTTCTTGGAGAAAACGAAAACTAAATTCAGCAGTTATCTCAGGCTCTTCAATTGAGAGAAAAGTGAAACTTGGACTATGGTGAGGAGCTGCAACTTGCCGCAAGTTCAGATCTGTTAAGGCAGTACTTCTCTGTGCTTTGGATCTCACTTGTGATCTTTATTTTAGTCACATGGAATGGTGCCTTAAAAGGCTACACCCAAATCGAATTCCCCTCAAAGTGGCCTGGAGTACCTCCTGAGGTTAAAAAGTCACCCGAAAGAGAACTGAGCACAGAGGAAATAATCACTATTCCTCTTTTAGCCTTGCTGAAAGTATGGAGGCTATCTTCCCTTGTCAATCTTCTCACCTTAGAGACACACACCTTTGTTTTTTGCCGGGATTCCTCATTCTCACTGGGCCCATGGGGTTTAAAGTGACTGTGTTGTTCACAACCTGAGCAGTAGGTGTTTGAATAACCACACACTGGGCAGTTTCTTATGTATTTCTTCCCACTGCATTCAACCCAATGTCATTTGGCAAGTATATATGATGCATTGTTGGATAACGTTGGAAGCTTAAACTCAAATGGGTAAAAAGGCAACTACCTTGTCTTCTGTCAGATTCCCAGTGCTTTTTAGCTCCTTCCTACTCAAAATGTGGCTCATGGGCATGACATTGGCATCAGCTGGGAGCTTATTAGAAGCACAGAAATGCAGAGTCTCAGGATCCACCGCTACTTGTATACACTACGTGTATTTTAACAAGGTCTCCCCACCCCATAATTCAGGCAGAAAGTTTGAGAAGTCTTGAAAACTGTTGTTAGGAGGCAGATCTCTCATCCTCTCTAGGGTGCACAGGCTACAAGAAGGAGCCTTGGCAACAACCTCCAAAGACACAATTCCTTTCAGAGCTTGTTTCCTGTTTGATAACTCACCAAATCTCTAAAACTGGAATGTGAAGCGAGGGTTCAGCCAAGGAACTGGGTGAGAGTTAATGGATCAATCTGCTCTCCCCCGTCAGTGCTTTTACCGCTGACTTCTGGAATGTGTTTGATGAAAAGAAAGCAACTTCTTCAGACAGAAGATACTGATGCAGCCTGCTGAGGTTAGGACCTACAGGAACAATACACCAATGTTATCAGAGCTTCGTTTGCCTCCAACTTCAGTCCAAAACTGACAACGGGAGGGAAAGCATTTTTTAAAGCCGTTGCTGTCAGCTGCCATTATTATAAATAGCAATTGCTCTGCTTCTCCCTGGGGGAATGTAGGCATCATTGTTTGGTTTTTGTTTAGATTAAGAGGTTTTTTCCAATAGCTTTTTACAACTAGATCTGAAAAATGAAACTAGTAGCACAGTGATGCTGCTTCCATTTATCATTCCAGAAGCTTGGATATGTTGAAAGTCAAAACCAGAGAAGGAGGTTCCTGCTTCTTTCCTATCATCAGGTTTGAGTGCCCTTTCTCAATGAACAATTAACAAAGAAGTCAGCTCTATTTAATGTTCTGTGTTCACTCCAGAATTTCAGGAAAGTAAGAAGCAAGGAGAGTCAAAAGAATCCTAAGTCACTGATGTCTTCATCAACCCAATCATCAGTGACCTCTAACATTAGCTGATTTTCTCAATAAACATTGTTTATCTTTCTCACTATGGTTAAATGAGATTATGAATACAAACCAAATCCTCTGAGTCTAGATTTTGAAATGTGGCCATAAGGGCCAAGACTGACTGATGGTTTGTAGGTATATGAGGGTAAAATTAGATCTGCTGGCTCCATCTGAAAGAGGCAATTTTGAGAGAAAATTATAGTGGCAGGTACAGGACAAGGCTTTAAGCTTAATAATGCCGCCTTTCCATTATAAAGATGTACTCAGGACCCATTCACGGGTACTGTCTACCTTTTGAGTTGTATTTCTGGGAGTAGTCAATTTCTGGGAATTGGATCGATTGACCTGCTTTTTACCAGATTCTCTCCTTTGATAGGGTTGGCAAGCATTACAAGGTGGCTGAAGTCAGTTAGTTAGCAAACCCACCTGGGGTTTACAAAGATACTTTTTACTTCGTTAGCACTAGGAAACGGAGCCAACCAACAGCCAAGGTCACGGAGTTTGTACACCTGGCTTGGAAAAACGAGCCAATCAGAATTAATCAAAACTGAAGTGCAAATGACTATCCTGAAGAAATGGAACATCTAGTGAAATTGGCATGCTGGGGCCTAAAGAAAAACCACCTGAAAGACTTTAGCTCACCAAGGGACCCTGTTGGCTCTCAGAAGGAATTTCAGACTTTCCCACTAGCTAAGCCCATTAATATCAAGAGCTTTATTAGATTAACTGGACTCTGGTAGCATTTTCAAGGCTCAGATTCCACAGCCTTTGTCAATAACAGTTTCCGCTGTGAAAATAGTTTATTTTTGTGTTTCTTCAACTCCATAGATAAAGTTGATCCTCAGAAGGGTGGGGTGCTTGTGAAGGAGTAGACACACAACTCCCTGGGGGACTCTTCCATCGTGGGACTCTTCCTGGCCATGCTTGGGAACACAGACATGCCTTTATGCAAAGAAAGGGTTCCACTAGAAGCACACCTGATTATACTCAACCTGGATCCAAAGAGCCCTGTGCCATGTCAAAGGAAAATGTTCTATCATAAATCTCCAGAAACAGAAAAGGTCAAAACCACTCTTGGTAATTAGCCTGCTGAAATACAGTGGCCCTGCTTTTTGTTTAACCTTTTAAGAAAAGGGCTGCACTCTCACGAGTCTCAACAAGCAGGCTTTAATTAGGCACATCCTCAACACTCCTACCCTCTGCTTAGCCCCTTCCCCCACCTGCAGTCCTAACAGAACATGCGTTTGGTTTGTTGCTTGAATCCCCTAACTTTGGATGGATTCATGTTTTCTTCTCAGTGCACTTTTTGTAGTCCTATTTTAAGTCCATGGAACCGTATCACTTTGCAGAATAAAAATAAGCTATATATAGACTGACCTCCAAAAAAGGGTGTCATGTTAAACAACTGGAAAAAATCAGCAGGCATGCCATGCACCAGCAGTTTTGTTTGTTTGTTTGTTTGTTTGTTCTAAATTCTGGCCAAGTTAGCAATAAGCGTGCAAATGTTCTTGTTAATGTTACTAGGTAAAATGCTTTACTGCAATAGCCACTAGCTATGTGAGCACTTGAGGTCTAGTTTGAACTGAGGTAAGATATATGTACAAAATATTCATTGGAGTTTGAAGACTTATTATAAGGGAAAGGATGTGGAAAGATCCATTAGTAATTTGGATATATTGGGTTAAATAAAAGGTATTAGTAAACTTGATTTTCCCTGTGCCTTTTGCTTTTTATACGGTGGCTATAAGAGATTTCAAAATTACAAATGTGGCTTGTATTGTGTATCTATTGGACAGTGCTGGTGTAGCAGATCAATTATTCCATGTATAGATAGAGAAAAATAAATGTCATATGTTTGATTTGGTTACTGCATGATTTATCACATAATTTTGTCCTATCTTGTATTATTATATATCTTTCTTGTTTCTTGATCATCTTCCAGCCATATTGGAAACTTTCAGAAGATAAATATAAAATCTTAAACTTATTCTGCAGCCCATATTGTACCTAGGACAGTGCTAGGCACATGATAAGTGTTTAATCAATGTTTGTTAATGGAGTAAAACTCGATGGTAGGACATTTTCAAAAGATTTCTTTGGGGGCTAGTCTGAGAGTTAGAACACAGGTTAGCCACTGAATCTGATGGAATATGTCTCACTATCCTTGATAATTGTTCTGGCCAATGAGCTGTGAGTAAAAGTAACACATCACTTTTGAGCTGAAAATTAACTTCAGAGTGTGATCTTTTGTTCTCTGCCATAGTGTTTAATTATCTTTTTTTTTTTTTTTTTTTTTTTTTTTTTTTTTTTTTTTGAGGCAGAGTCTCACTCTGTTGCCAGGCTGGAGTGCAGTGGTATGATTTCGGCTCACTGCAACCTCTGCCTCCCGGGTTCAAGTGATTCTCCTGCCTCAGCCTCCCGAGTAGCTGGGACTAAAGGCCCGCACCAAAAGACCCAGCTCATGTCTGTAATCCCAGCACTTTGGGAGGCCGAGGCGGGCGGATCACGAGGTCAAGAGATCAAGACCATCCTGGCCAACATGGTGAAACCCTGACTCTACTAAGAATACAAAAATATAATTATCTTTTATATAGAGACTACTCCTGTTAGCTGTTGTCTCCAAGTGACCTGCAATAGACATGCAGCCAAGCAAGAGACACTCCTTTGTTGTTTTCAGCCACTGAAGCTCAGAAATTCTTTGTCGTGGCTACACAACCTCGCTTCTGCCAACTGATGTAGCATGGCTATTTGACTACAGATTGGCTTCCCAGCTGTGGCTCTTCCTTTGCAAAGCTCATATTTTACTAACATTTAGTCTCAATAACCAAAAACAAAGAGGATCAGTATTATACTCACCTCTTGAATCAACGGTGATCTTTAATTACAATGTCTGGAGTCAGAGTGTCTGCCATTAAAACATTTAATTTTTAGCAGTAGTAACGAGTTAAGAATGCTGATCAAACTGCTTCAGGTAGCTTCCCCTTTGAGGAGAGGAGGGTAACTGTAAATGAAGCAGCACATTTTAAAGGGCATTGCTGAAATCTTCCTTGAGCAGCACCAACTGGTATTTGTTGATCACTGGACTCCCTTTAGCTGCTGTTTCTGAGAACAACCTGCCTCCTGCCTTACCCCATTGAGCTGATTTTACTAGGACACAGGACCATCATGAGGGGTCCTTGGTAAAGGAGCATGGTTGAGGGATTACTGAGGAGGGGAGAAGTAGAGGAGAAAAGGGAAAATCCCAGTGAGGTGGCCCCAGGCAAAGATCGAAAAAAACTGAAGTGAATCTAATCATTTGGCAGGGCAATCCAAGTCCTGAGCTTTAAGACGACACTTCTCACGGAGAGAGAAACTCCAGCTTGCAGTTCTCAGACATGGCCTTGTTATTGTTTTACTTCTAAATAAAACACTTGTTGTCTCTAAGTATTTCAATTCCTGTGCCTTATCTCAATTTGTAGGAGAGTTCCATTCAGAGCACCCATGAAACAGAAGATGAATGAATCATTTTACTGCAGACTGGAATAGGGCAGTGTGGCTAATGAGCTGTACGTTTAGTCTTAGAAGGCCCTGGGATGCCTCACACTGGAGGCATCATCTAAGTCCTACTGTCCCTGGAGACTAAGTGAGTGGTCACTCTGTTACCAGACAAAAGTGCAGACCCTTCTTTGGACTTAAACACAGAGCTAGTATGACTGTATATTAAGGGATAAATTTCAGACTTTGTATGTCTTTTCCTGGATGAAACATTGGAAACATTGAAACATTGGAGAGTAACAGAGAGAATGGGGAAATCTTTGGTTATTCTGGGACTACAGTCTCCTTCAGGCTAAGTGTTAAGTAGGCCAAGAATTGAGTTGCTTCCTCCCCTAGTCAGTATCCTGCTTGCGTGAAGTTCGCTTCTCTAGAAACACAGTCTAAGACAGAAATTCAGATACACATGATTTACTCTCAAGAGGAGGAGAGAAAAGCAGAAGGGGGTAGGGATAGGAGATAAGCCAGGATGTGGTCCAGCTGTGACCCAGCTTTGGCCTGACCTCATGGGGAGGAGAGAAACATGCATTATACTACAGATGTGGTTCCACCAGGAAGCAAAGATGCTGTTCTTTTATAATCCTGTCTCAGTCAATCATTAGCTGTGGGCTGCCCTAGGTAGGGGGCATCATCTCTTAGGCAAGGTGGCTCCCGGTGGTTCATGACAATTCTCTGGAGAAGTGGGGATAAGAAGTAGTGGGTAAGCCATTAGCAGCCAACACTCACTGCAGCCAGGGGATGGGTGCCTCTGACCTGTACAGGGATGTGGGCAGAGAACCCACAACACCCACTGCCTTGCTGCAGTTATTCCTGTATCCATGCTCATCGTTTTTCAGGTCCCGGTATCCTATGCTTCCTTATCCCCTACTTTCTAATTTTACAGTTCACTAATCTAAAAATCAAGCTCCAGCTGTCTGACCTCTAAAATGAGAGAGTGGTCTCACTATTCTCTCAAGCCCCTTTCAACTTCATGAGTCTACTGTGTCATCCTATTGTAACGAAAGTCGACCCTTTTTAAAAAATAATCAATGGCTTTCTGTAGAGAGAATGTCAACCCCAGTGACTGATATCAAGGTGGAAGTTTCAGAGCATCTGATCAGCAGTTAGGTCTAGAAAGAGCTGGGTCTAGAAAGACTCTGGCTAGTGCTGCTCCATCACACCTTGAGAATTGTTGCCGATATTGATGTTTGAGAGGGCTTACCTGCTTAGGCACCTGCGCACCATGTGATCTCTTCTCTTCTCGTGCTATGGTGAGCCTAGAATTTGAGGAAACCTGGAAAGTTGCATCCAGGGAAGACTGAAGTCAGGGGATACAGCCAATTATACTCTACTTCCCTTAGCATGTCCTGTAGTAGCAGGAGCAAACCGTGCTTCCATCCATCTGCATCAGCTTTCTCTGATTATCTGTTTCCTTTTTAATCTGCTACCTTTGTCTTTCCATCTCCTCCGTCCACCTCCTTTCTCTTCCTCAGAAGCATGCAGTGCCACAATGGTTGAAACCCACTCTGTTATCCTTTCACTGGACAGTGACTTCCAAATGGTGGGGGACTGTCTAAATAGTCTAGAACTTGCCAAATGCAGATATCCCTGGAGTAAGCCAGCTGACTGACTGGCTTAGAGAGGAGATGCCAATACACTTCCTCATTAGGATAGACTGTACTGCATGAAGCAGGCTGGATTCTGGAATCAGGCAGTTGGGTTTAAATCCAGACCTTGCCATTTATTAGCTGTGTGATCTTGAAAAAGTTACTTAGCCTCTCTTCTGCCTTCAGTTTCCTGAAAGTTTCTCATAAGTCTTGAATCTTCAGATTCAGTGGGTACATGTTGTCCAAGACAAAAATGACATAACAAACACCAAGATAAATCCTAGTGAAGCTGTTAAAACACAAGTATTAAGGAAATACTTTAATGGGCTTCTAGACAGAAGAAGTGGTCACTAATTGGGAGGATATTTGATTACTCTACATAGAAAACAATGCCAGAAGACAGCAGAACAATGTCCATGGGGTTCTGAGGAAAAGTGTGACCTGAGAATTTTACATACACACACACACGCACAGAGACACACGCACATGGGCACGCGTGCGTGCACACAGCCACACACGCACACCTACAGAGAAACCAAGTCGTCCCTTAAGCATGAAGTCGACATTTTAAAATATGCAATAATTGAAAAACTAGAACACCCAAGAGCTCTTGAAAGAAAACCATTGACATATTTAATTCAGCCAATGAATCAAAGAATCAATATATATTTTTAAAGCCTCAGAAATGGAGCATCCATGAGAAAATGCTGGTGATGGTGAGCGTTGAGGTTATTTAAATACAGAAATAAAACTGAACGACTCTTGAAATTACTGTGACAGAACAGAATGTAAGTGTCATAAAAACCAAATATAAAAAAAGAATACACATAATTTAAAAAGGATGCTAGTTTCCACATTTTTCACAAAGAAGAGTCAATAGATACTATCTAACACTTAATGTTTTTCACATTTTTTCCTTTAGAGGATAATTTAAGAATTCATTTTATGAAGAAATATTCTTTTTCTGAAGTTGAATAGTTCCTTAGCTTTCTTTTTGTCCCCTTTATATTCAAGAAAATCTATTTAAACCTTTTATTTCAAAATGCAGTCATAGCATGTTCTCATTTTTCTATGCATTTATTAACTGATTTATCAATCTGTCCTCCATCCTTCCTTCCTGCCATCCATTCATCCACTTATCCATTCATCCTTCTGCCTGTATGTAAATATAGAAAATTGTCTGTGATGAAGATCTTCAAATATTGGTAACCATTGTTCCTGGGTGAAAATGTTTTTAGGTAACTTTTAATTGTATCTGTCCTTTTAACTGTCTTGAATGATTTACTATGAATGTACATCATTCTATTATAATAAAAACTGTAAAACATCACTTTCAAAAGTGAATAATGAAGAACTATATGGGCTAACACTGTTAACTGAAAAATGAGCATAGTAAAACCTCATCTTTGTAAAAGAGCGGATATAAATACGTGTAGATACCTAGACATTTTCTGGGAGATTCACAAGTAACAGATCACTGTGGTTATTTAAGAATAGGGGACAGTGAGACTGTATTAACAGGGAGACTTCCTTCTTTCTTTTTATTTTCCAAAATATATGCAACTTAATCATATTGTAATAATGATGGGAAATAAATACTAAAAGAAAAAAAGAAATGGCTAAAGACCATCTTTGGATGGGTACAAGAAGACTACTACAAACCTTTTGGTTTATTTCCTTGTGTGGTCCCCAAGGCTTCACCTTCAGAGCCAGTAGATTCTGCCAACCCCTACTCCAGAGGATGAGAAGAAGCCTGTGGCCAAGCAGCAGCACTGTTTCCGGAGCTCTCCTTTCTTTTTTCTTTTTTTGCCTTACATGATCTTTTTAGCCTTGAAATCAATTTCTTGTTTATATTAATCCTTCATGCAGGATATGGTTTTACCTTTCATTTCTTACAACATTTCAGGCCAGTAGTATGTAGGAAAGACATAAGACTAAAGTAAGCCTAGAAGCAGAGACATAACTAGCAAACGCAATGATAGATAACAATGGATGTTTTGATGCTAGGGAGGAGTGGGGACTGCGATGTCTAGAGGGGCAGTCACACTCTGCTGTGACATTTGCTGCTATGTCAGAACTTGGCACAGTGTGGCATGAGACTCTGGAGAAGTTAGGAATTTAGATTTATAAGCGGGTTTTCTCCATTTTAAAATCCTATGAAATTAATTCAAATGGAAAAACAAAAAAGGCATTGAGAAGACCACTGAAAACATCTGGCCAGGCTGGATTTGGACTGCAGGCTGCTATTTTTTTACTTCTACTGTAGCTTACAAAGGGTGTGCATTTGAGCTTCAGCAGGAATTGTTGCATGGCATACCTGCTCATCATAGATAGGTATGACCAGTTGCTGTGTGGGCTTTAAATTATGTGGCCCTAGAGAAGGGTGTTTCTGCATCTTACTGCCTTCTAGTGCACTGGAAACCTTTTCTTAAGAAATAGAAGGCGGAATAGAAATAGAGAGTGTCCACAGAGGAGGTGACATGCAGCATCACCTGTGGGTCAGGATCATAACATTTTTCAGGCTCCTTGGATGAGAGCAGGGCTGAATTTTGGTTGCAGGAAACAAACCCCAGCAAAGTCTACCTGTGGGAGCCCAGCAAAAGAAACTCAGTCCATTCTTCTTTCCTGGGGATTTGACATAGTCCGAGGGAAAGTGTGGCAGTATGAGCTGAATTTGGCTTTGAAATCTGGGTGTTTTGACTCAAAACAGAAAAGAAATGATGAGTCAGGGTAACAAGAGTTGATGGAAAAAGGATGACCTTTTTGAGCTACACAAAATAAAAAGGCCCTTGACTGCTTGAGAAGAGGCAAGTAAATCAGGTGCTAGGATTCTAAGTCCAACCTCAAGTTTCCATAACATCAGAGTGAATCTAAACTCAAAGGCAGCCTTCAGAGAGTGCATAGGGCGAGTAAAACGAATAACAAACCCATCTCCTAAAATCCTTGATTTTGCAGCTTCAAGATTCCGTTCTCTCCCTGATGTGTATGCCACTATCGTGAATTGACAGGAACATGGGCTGTTTAATTTCTTTCTTTTCAAAATGCCCCCCTTTGCTTCCTGTCAGGCTAGTCCTACACTACGGAATCCATTCTTCTGCCTCTCTTTTTTTTAAATTCCTTTCAAGAGATAAGAACCCAGCATTAAAATGTAGGTGGCATAGCTTTGAATAGTAGTTGCCATTTTAACCTCTACTGGCCTACTTGTACCACCTAAAATGTGGCTTCTGCAACTACTCTAATTTATTGCATTCTTTTTCATAAAAAAACTTGGACATAGCAAGCAAGGTGTCAGCATACAAGGCAACAATGCATTGAGCCAAGATCTTACAATCTTATTACAAGATAAAGAGTAGAGTGCCTCTTGCTTAAGGATGTTCTGTAGATGGCCCCAAATGCTAAGAGCAATTTGATTAATAATCCCATCTGTTTTACTCCTTGAATTTGTTTCCAGGGAAAATGTGCCTTTGATCACTAGGCGCTGACGAGGGTATAACCTGGCCCGAGGTGTTTCCCTGGAGTGAAATATGCAGCACTTCTCAACTCCCAATTCCATTTAATTTATTGTTTGTTTTTGCTCAAGAAGAGCCTGTTTTTACAGCTGAACAGATTTGGAAGCTGGCTTGGGGTGTTTCATTTCCTTACATGAAGAGTTATAATGTAGGGGATGGTAACCAGCTGTTTCCACCTTCACTAAAGACAGAGCAAACAAGAATTACCCTTCACTGTAGCAAAAGAAACTTAGGTTAGTTATAAGAAGGAACTTCCTGAGAGTTAGCAAGGGAGGCTAAGAGTCTCCTCCCTTGAGGGCTCTTAGATGGGATTTTCTTATCTCTTTTTGGGATGGCTTATGTGAGACCAAGATTAATGACACTAGAATCAGCCAAATAACCTGTTTCTGTGCCTTCCAGTACTGTATTTCTGTGTATGATAACCATTACCTGGGTCTGTGCCTTGTGGATAGTTGGATGATTGGGGGTAAGATTTATTTATTTATTTATTATTTATTTATTTATTTATTTTAGAAGAAGGCTTGTTTTCCATTTGATTTGCAAGTAAATGCCATAGCAGTGATGGGCTGAAGCCAGCTGGAGAGTTCACTGTTAAATGTTTAGGTTTAATTTTTTTTGGCAAGTCGGTTGTTATACACAGCTGCTATTAAAAAGTAAATCATATAAACTTAAAATTAATAAATTATATTAAAAACAAGGAAAAATACATAGAACTCACTACCCCTTAATAATTTCACTGCATTTTACTTTTATATATATGCTCCTAAGATTATTTACTTCTATTGTGTCTGTCTTACTCTCTTTTGTGCTGCTATTACAGAAAACCTGAGACTGGATCCATCCATCCTTCCTCCCTCCTTCCCTCTCTTTCTACCTCTTTCTCGCTCTCTCTTTCTTCCTTCCTTCCTCCCTCCCTCCCTCCCTCCTTCCCTCCCTCCCTTCCTCCCGCCCTCCTTCCCTTTTCCCTTCCCCCTTCCTCTTTCTTTCTCTTTCTTTCTTTCTTTCTCTTTCTTTCTTTCTTTCTTTCTTTCTTTCTTTCTTTCTTTCTTTCTTTCTTTTTCTTTCTTTCTTTCTCTCTCTTTCTCTTTCCTTCCTTCCTTCTTTCCTTCTTTTCTTCCTTTCTTCCTTTCTTTCTCTCTCTCTCTCTGTCTCTTTCTTTCTCTCTCCCTCCCTCCCTCCCTCTCTTTCTTCTTCGGAGTCTCACTCTGTTGCCCAGGCTGGATTGCAGTGGCAGGATCTTGGCTCACTGCAATCTCTGCCTCCCGGGTTCAGGTGATTCTCCTTGAGCAGAATCTCCTTCAGCCTCCCAAGCAACTGGGATTACAGGTGTGTGCCATTATGCCTGGCTAATTTTTTTGTATTTTTAGTAGAGATGGGGTTTCGCCACGTTGGCCAGGCTGGTCTCGAACGCCTGACCTCAGGTGATCCGCTGACCTCAGGTGATCCGCTCACCTCAGCCTTCCAAAGTGCTGGGATTACAGGTGTGAGCCACCACACCCAGCCTGAGACTGGATTGTTTATAAGGAAAAGAAATGTAGTCTCACAGTCTGGATGCTGGGAAATTTAAGGTCAAGTTGCCAGCATCTAGCGTCCTGCTTCTTGCTGAATCTTCCTTCATTCATATGGTGGCAGGCAGAAGAAGAAAAGAGGAAGTCTGTGTCCTCACATGACAGAAAAACAGAAGAGTGAGAACCCACTCCCACTCCTGCAAGCCTTTTTAATAGCGGCATTGACCTATTCGTGAGGGCAGAGCCTTCATGACCTAAAAACCTCCCATTAGGCCCCACCTCCCAGCACTGTTGCATTGGGGATTAAGTTTCCAATACATGAATTTCAGGGGACATATTTAGACCACAGCAGCATGTGTATGGTGGAAATAATATATACTAATGTGGCGCTGCACATCTCATTCCAATTCCACATTCAGTGGCATCATGTTGGTGGTTTGAAATCTGTTGTGTGAGGAACATTTACACTATAAAAATTGGAAGACTCTATAAACCAGGTTTTCCCCAGAGCCAGGAGTTAGACATTTATGAGACTACCTACATGGAAGAGAGTTGTGAGAGAGAAGGAAGTAAGGGAGGGAGGGAGGGAGAGAGAGAGGGAGAGAGAGAGAGAAAGAAAAGAGAAAAGAAAAGAAAGAAAGATGAGAGGGGAGGGGAGGGGGAGAGAGAGAGGGAAAGAAGAAAGAAGGGAAAGAAAAAGAAAGAGAGAAAGAGAAAAAGGAAAGAAAGAAGAGAGGGAAGGAGAGCGGGTGAGAGAGAGGGAAAGAAAGAGGAAAGAAGGAAGGAGGGAAGGAGAGAGAGAAGGAGAAAGAGAGGGAAGGAAGGAAGGAAGGAAGGAAGGGAGGGAAAGAAAAGAAAAGAGAAAAGAAAAGAAAAATATTGCCCTAGTGGCTTTTTTAAATACCTTCTCAATATTTTTTCAAAATCTTTTTGGGGAGTAAGTATTATAATAAAGGCCTTTTTGAAAAAGAAAATGTTCAGGATTTCTTAAGTCCAGAAACTCTTTTATCTTGAACTAAATTAGCTCAAGTAAAATCTGAATTGGTGGTAACAATTACGTATCAGTCCCTCTTTTACTTTACTACCCATTGTTAAGCCAATGCTGTCCAATAGAGATATAATATAGTCCACATATGTACTTTTAAATCTCCTAGTAGCTAAATTAAAAACAAAGTAACAACAAACAGGATAAGTTAATTTTAGTAATGTATCTTATTTAACCCAAATTTTCCAAAATTATTATTTCACTATATAATCAATATTAAAATGTTACTAAAGTGTGTTTTTTTTGTTTTTTGTTTTTTTTGGTAATGTGTCTTTTCTAATTTGGCATGTATTTTACATTCACCTCACATCTCAATCAGACTAGACACACTTCAAGTGCTCAATAGGCCATGTGGCTAGTGGCTGCCCTACTGGACAGTATATGTCTATATTCCCAGTGAAGAAGAGGCTGGGCCACAGCCATGGTCATTGCCCATGGAGACTTGCCCACTCTCAGTGCGCACAGACAGAATACATTGAGGTTATCTCACATTAGTGCTAGATGGGCCATGGAGTTCAGATTATCCCATTCTTAATTTGTAGATGTGGGGATGATTACATTTCCGGGAGGTGGTTGTCTTGTCCTAAGTCATACATTGGTATGCTCAATGGTTTCAACTGCATCCAAACTTTGGTTTCTGAACTGTGTAGTGCTTAAGGACCTGATGCATGAATCAAACTTTCAGCTATCGTATCTCCAAGGCTTCCTCATCTATTGGCTGAATAACTGGGCTAATTGTTAAATTTCTTGGTGCCTCAATTTCCTCATATATAAAATGAGAAAGAGTATAGTATCTACCTAACTGAGGTGTCCATATGATGATGTTCATTTCAAATACATTACAAAATGCTTAGAATAAAGCACAGAGTAAGTGTTCAATAAATGTTTGTTTGCTTTTGCACAGCAAAGGAAACAATCAACAAAGTGAAGGGACAACACACAGAATGGGACAAAATATTTGCAAACTCCCTATCTGACAAGGGATTAACAACCAGAATAAGGAGCTCAAACAACTCTATAGGAAAAACTCTAATCTGATTAAAAGTGAACAAAAGATTTAATACATATTTCTCAAAAGAAGACATACAAATGGCAAACAGCATATGAAAAGATGCTTAGCATCATTGATCATCAGAGAAATGCAAATCAGAACTATAATGAGATATTGTCTCATTTCAGTTAAAATGGCTTTTATCCAAAGGATAGGCAATAACAAATGCTGGTGAGGATGTGGAGAAAAGGGAATTCTCATACACTGTTGGTAGTAATATAAATTAGTACAGCCACTACGGAGAAGAGTTTGGAATTCCTCAAAAAACTTAACATAGAAGTACAATATGGCCCAGCAATCCTGTTGCTGGGTATATACCACCCAAAAAGGAAATCAATATATCAAACAGATATCTGCATGCCCATGTTTGTTGCAGCACTATTCACAATAGTTAAGATTTCAAAGCAAACTAAATGTCCATCAATAGATGAATAAATAAAAAAAAATGTGGTACATATACACACGGGAGTACTAATCAACCATGAACAAAGTAAGATCCCGTCACTTGCAACAACGGGGAAGAAACTGGAGGTCATTATGTTAAGTGAAATAAATCAGGCACAGAAAGGCAAACTTCACATGATCTCACTTACTTGTGGGAGCTAAAATAAAAACAATAAACTCATGGAGATAGAGACTAGAAGGATGGTCACCGGAGGCTGGGAAAGGTAGAAGGAGAGGGGTGAAAGTGATAATGGTTAATGGGTATAAAAAAATAGAAAGAATGAATAAGACCTAGCATTCGATAACACAGCAGGTTGGCTATAATCAATAATCATTTAATTGTGCATTTTATAATAACTAAGTATAACTGGATTGTTTGTAACACAAAAGATAAATGCTTGAGGAGGAGACAGGTACCCCATATTTCATGATGTGATTATTATGCATTGCATGCTTGTATCAAAGTATCTCATGTATCCCACAAATATATACACCTATAATGTACTGATAAAAATTAAAAATAAAAACATTTAAAAGTTCACTTGTATTGCTATAATATAAAGCAAACATTTAATGGTTTGAATGAAGAGAATACTAGTGACAGGAGTAAAGGGGATACTATTGAACAGTTCTCAACCTGAAAGTCCAAATTGCTTTATAATTACTTGTATAAACATTCGTATAAGAATGTAAAAGTTATGTGTCAGATTGCTATTTCTTGAGTATTTAGATAAGAGTTTTGCTTTCTGTTTAAAAGAGTTATCTCCTGCTGTCATTATTCTTACTGAAGTGGTAACTTTGTTTATATTTCTAATGAGACTTAATGCTGATTCATAATGATGTCAATTTATTTAAACTTATTTGAATTTCTAAAATTTGGAATTCTAAAAGATTTTGGAAGTAGGCTGCCACTACTCCCTCCATCCCACCTTCCAAGTACCCGTGAGATGCATGCATTAAAACTCAATTTCCACTCTACATTGACAAGAGAATTTGAAAAGAAAATTGTTAGACAAATATATGTATACATATATACATATATACACACACACACAGATTTATAACATTCGTTCATGTTTACTGAAGGTTTTTAGGATTTAGTAACTAACTTATGCTTCTCAAGGCAATTTTCATGCTGCTTTGTAGTGTCCATGTGGACCATTCTTTATTTGATCAACACAAGCTTTGGCATGCTTTAAAGGAGCAGTAGTTAAGGCAGTTATGCTGGAATTTCTTTAGAAGTGGAGATGGCGTTTTCATTACCCAGACGGGTGTTATAATTAATGAGAACAAATACCACTGGGGTAAAATTATGATGAGACTAAAATTTTAAATTCTGTTGGCATTTTAATATTAATATAATTTTTCTCCTAATGTGTATTTCACACATGGCCAGGGAATTATTGAAAACATTATTTAATTTAATCAAAAATATTTAATTCCTAAAGTACATTCAGGAGTGCTCATGGTGCACTTAGAGAATACTTTTTGAAATTTCTATAATGCAGTCTTTACATTACATACCTTTAAATGTCTGGGTGATACTAGCCATGAGAAAGTAGGTTAACAATATAAAATAATGAGGCCGGGCGCAGTGGCTCATGCCTGGAATCCCAACACTTTGGGAGGCTGAGGCGGGTGGATCACCTGAGGTCGGGAGTTCAAGACCTGCCTGACCAACATGGAGAAACCCCGTCTCTACTAAAAATACAAAATTAGCTGGGCATGGTGGCGCATGCCTGTAATCCCAGCTACTTGGGAGGCTGGGGCAGGAGAAGTGCTTGAACCCGGGAGGCAGAGGTTGAGGTGAGCCGAGACCACGCCAGTGCACTCTAGCCTGGGCAACAAGAGCAAGACTCCATTTCAAAAAAAAAAAAAAAAAAAGGAAAAGAAAAGAGTGGTGAAAAGAGTGGTTATGTCTTCAAATGAATGTGTAGCTTTTCTGGATAGTTTCTTTCTCTCTCTTTCTTTCATCCATTCTCTCTCTCTCCTTTCTTTCTTTCTTTCTCTTATGTATTTAGAGACGGGCTTGTCCAGGCTGGGGTGCAATGGCACGATCTCAGCTCACCGCAACCACTGCCTCACGGGTTCAAGCAATTATCCTGCCTCAGCCTCCCAAGTAGCTGGGATTACAGGTGTGCACCACCATGCCCAGCTAATTTTTTTGTATTTTAGTAGAGACAAGGTTTGTTCGTGTTGGTCAGGCTGGTCTTGAACTCCCGACCTCAGGAGATCCGCCTGCCTCGGCCTCCCAAAGTTGGTGTTTTTTGTTTGTTTGTTTGTTTTAGTGGAGTCTTGCTCTGTCACCCAGGCCAGAGTGCAGTGGCACGATCTCTGCTCACTGCAACCTCCACCTCCTGGATTTAAGCCATTCTCCTGCCTCAGCTTCCCCAGTAGCTGGGATTACAGGCACACACCAACAGGCCCAGCTAATTTTTGTATTTTTAGTAGAGATGGGGTTTCACCATTTTGGCCAAGCTGGTCTTGAATTCCTGACCTCGTGAGCCACCATGCCTGGCCGTTCTTTTCTTTTCTCTTTTATTTTGTTTTCCTTTCTTTTCTTTCCTCTTTTATTTTGTTTTCCTTTCTTTTCTGTTCTCTCTCTCTCTCCTTCCCCCCCTCCCTCCCTCCTTTCCTTCCTTCCTTCCTTCCTTCCTTCCTTCCTTCCTTCCTTCCTTTTGTTCTTTCTTTCACTCTTCCTTTTCAGTTAAATCTTACTGGGTAACAAACCAACCTAAAACTTACTGGCCAAAAATGGCAACCATTTTATTTACTCACATGTCTGTGGATCATCACTGTAATTCTTCTGGTCTGAACCAGCTTTGCTTATCGCTGCAAAGTTCTCTCATGGCCTATAGTCAGTTGGCAAGTCTGCTCTCAACAGGTTGATTAAGGATAACTTCATTCAGATCACTGGTGGTTGGAAGGCTGGTTAGTCTTTATGAGCTTCTGTTGTGGCAGTTTGTGTTTCTTCCATGTGGTTTCTCAATCTTTAGCAGGCTCACTTGGGTTTCTTCATACAATGGTCTAAGAACTCCAGAGAACATGTGCTTATCCACTTCTCAAGAATCCACTTGAATCCCATTTCCTAATGTCTCATTGATCAAAACAATTTTTATATGACCAAGCCCAGAGCCATTGTGTGAGAGGATTACCTCAGGGTATGGATACAGGGAGGAGAATTATCACAGATGACAAATTATTATGTTTTCGCAAATGGACTATTCCATATAACATGAAGCTTCCTTGTTTGAAGTCACTGATATTTTGAGTTCTTTGCTAGTGCATCATGACCTAATCTGTTGTGACTGTTGCAACACCTGAATCAATAACTAGGCTGCTAAGCCAACAAAAATGAGCTCAGTCATTTTTGTTTGATATAGCTACTGATTTTCCAGAAGCAAGAACACTATTTCCTTTTCTTTTATGCACACATCTCCTTTACATATGTCTTCATAGACTGAAACTCTCAGAAGATAGCATTTAATAACACAGGAAGTTTGTGAGAGGTGCCTGGTACGGAAGAGAGTGAGAAGTTGTGATAGAAGAAGCCAAGCTGCTGTGATGACAGCTGAGACTCTGACTGCAGAAAATGAGAGAAGTCTTGGATTTTCATGTATGTCACTCATTTGATATTGTAGAAAAACAGGCATCAGAGTGACTAAAAAATCTCTCCTCAGTTCAGCAGTCACAGAATTTTCTGGGAATCTGGACAAGCAACGTCCCACAAAGCACTAAGAAGAAATTTTAGCTACAAACCAAGTGAACAGCAAATAGCTAAGATAATGTGATAGCCAACATACTCAGATTCTTAGAAGATATTGAGTTAGGCTGAGTAGTAGTCCATCGTATGTATATACCACAATTTCTTTATCCACTCATTGACTAAAGGACATTTGGGCTGGTTCCACATTTTTCAATTGTGAATTGTGCTCCTATAAACATGCATGTGCAATGTAGTACACGTTGCTTTCAAATGTGTGACATGGATCATGAGAAACCTTCAGATAAATAGAACATTGTCTCAAATTCCTAGTCAAAGAGCAAAACTGATTTGCTACAGAAAACTGGAAAATTTTAGAAAGCATTGTTTCTTCTTAAAAAGGACTAAAAATATGACTTCTAAGAATGAAGAGTTAAAAATAATGAATGGAAGACAAATGAAGAGATAACAAGGGAGGCTTGGAGAGGAGGGACGAGGGAGCTGGATGTGTGGAGGTTGATGGACAGGCTGCAGCTGTTAGCAAGATGATGAGTAAAAGTGAGCTGGTAGATCTTTCCCCCTGAAACGCTACTTGGAGTAAGAAGTGCCTCGATCTGGCACTAAGACAAACACTCCCAGAAACAGATGCATCTCAGAGTGGGTAGGAAACAGACCCGAGAGAAAGCAATCAGAATGAGAGAGGGAATTCTATGGTACACTTTCCTCTTACCCCATTACCTGAATGAGTCATTTCCTGCCATGTCACTCTACAAGGAGGTGGCATCATCGGTGAAGGCCCAGGCTGGATGTCAGGCATCAGTATCGGACTTAGACAGGGCTAAAGGGAGAGATGGCGATACCAAGCTCAATCAGATCTACAGCTCCCGAGAATTCTCTCCTCCCACCCCCTGTCCCTCACACCTGGGTGACAGGTGTTTACCAGGAGCATGGAAATGAGATCCATGCTCTGGGAAGAGGTATAGGAAGGTTATCTGGTGGTGAGGTGGCAAATAGAGAGTTGTCCCTCTCAGAGTTTCAGGATTATTTTTTTTTTTTAGATGCAGCCACCTAATCTATTCTCTAAAATCCCCCAGAGGGGTACAGGCTGGGACCTGCTCTTATCTCTTCACACAGGCACACTTTGTGGATACTCCCCGGGAAAACACTACAGAAGAGGAGAACATATGTGTATATGTACATTGATATTTATATTTCAGTATAAGTATACACTTAAATATATGTGCACTTATACACACATATGTATATGTAAAAATACTGTATATATAAAAACAGAAAAGCAAAACTCCTGGATAGATTATATTGTACAAAATTGAATTAATATTTCAGAATCGAATTTTAAATGTTAAATGAATATATTCAAAGTGATATGGCAAGGCTTAGTAAAATGGAACAGAACTAAGCAGTAATAAAGACAATTCAACTGTAAATATGAGTTACGAAAAACAGAAGAGTTGTGCTAAAGCAGCAGTTCCTAAAATGTAATCCCAGGAGCTACAACATTGGCATCACCTGCAAACTTGTTAGAAATCCACACTCTTGCACCCACCCCAGATCTACTGAATCTGAAACTCCTGGACTGGAATCCAGGCATCTGTATTTTAGGGTATATTCCAAGGGGATTCTGAGGCACTCAAGTTTGAAAACCACTGCTGTAGAAAACCAAACTGATTGATTGGGTTGAACTAAAAAATGGTTAGAGATAAAGAGTGATTCACTGAGCTGGAAGATAGTACTGAAAAACCTATCCAAAGGCATTAGGAATAGACAAGGAGATGAAAGTATTTATGTCAATGTTAACAGGCATGATGGATAAAGTAGAAGGGTCAACATCCATATAATAGGACATCAAAAAAGAGGAAGAAAATAATGAAGGGAGGGAAATAGCCAAAGATCTGTTGACCAAGGACTTTCCAGAATTTAGAAAAGATCAGGGTATTTCACATAAATGTCTATATTTCTGTCTTTCTCTTGATAAATTAGAAGATCTGGCAACACTGGCCCACATTGTCATATAGTAGTTTACCCAAGCTGACTAGCAGCTACTGCCTTGAAATTAGGCATTGAAAGGATGAGCATGTGGGCTGTGGTCACAGACTGGCTGGGATTCTACCCAAGCTGCACCACTTACTAACTGTGTAACTTGAGGCGACCTTTTGACCCTCAATTTTCTCATCTAGGCAGAGGGGATAAAAAGATGCTTGTCTTATAGTTGTTTCAAAGATTAAATGAATTAACATATACTCAACATAGTGTTTACAATGCCAATGATTACTTTTACTTGTCATAGGCCCCACAACTCACTATACGATTCCTGCTCTTTTCCTATATAACCTTGGTTGGTTATGACTTTGGTTTCTTTGTTAACAGCTCTGAGCCTCAGTTTACTCTTCAGAAAAATGAGATAATAAACTACCCCAACCTCCCATATATAGAGAAGTGAAATAATGTTTGTGGACATGATTTACATAAAATGGGAACTCAGTAAATGCTTGAATTTTTAAAATTTAGTCACCCATCTTCACATTCTGTACAATAATTAGCACAGAATGATGTGTTGCAGCCAGCCTACAGTGGTGCAAGAGAGGCAATTGCTAAAATTTAAGAAATTTTGAGGATTGATTGTTAAACGCAGCTATCCTTAAAAATTGAATCATCTAATCTTACAATTAAATAAATTATAAAAACAAAGAGTAAATTCTCAAAAATTCATCTCTTCTTAGTTTTGTACTATATTTTACCAGAATCTATACTGTTGAGATTAGGTCTATTGTATCTATATAATAGAAATACTATGTGATGGTGTCCTATTAAGCATCTCTTCCCAACTTCTGGTCGAGTCACATTGTCTTGGTGGGTTGAAATTGGCCATGGTAGAAGAATTTATCCTGTGGAATTTGAAGTGGCAAACACTTCAAATCAGAGTTTTATTTCCTCTTGAACAAGTTGAAAATATTTACCAGAATAGCATTGTTAATATCCATAAAAATTGTTTGGAAAATAAAGACACATAAAATTATGTTTATTACCAGAGGACCTCAAAACACTGTGAAGTACTCACAGTGACCATAAAAAAGATGACTCCATTATAGTATTAATTTTCCCTGAAATTTACAGGCTAGGTATAACATTAAACATTTAATATATTTATCCTTAAAATGGCAAAGTTATATATGTCCTAGAACTCTATGAAATACGCTACACAAACATGTTTTTCTTCACCTATAATTGACCCACTGCAAGAGGCATTCCATTTACCATGCTTGAACAAAGATTTGTCTTTATAGTAACAGCTATGATCCTAAAGTTGGACTAAGTTCTTTATGCACATTGACACAATTCTCACAACATCCTTATAAGGAAAGCACTATTATTTCCCCTAAAGATATTAAAAAGTGATAGCACAGGTAAGTCACTCTGAACATAGAAATACAAGGGGAATTTAAAGGTTTGCTTATTGTTATGTAAAACCCACCCAAAACTTGGTGGGTTAAAAATCAACATTTGTTTCTCATACTTCTGGTCATTGGCTGGGCTTATCTCTTGTAGTTCTTCTGCTCCATATGGCATCACCTAGAGTCACTCATGCAAATAAATTCAGCTATGGGTTTTGCTTGGACTAGAACATCCAAGATGGCTTCACTTACATTTCCACGTGGCTTCATTCAGCTGGGGTGGCCAGAACAACTAGGGCTGAGTGCACCTTTCTCATTCCACATGGTTTCTCCAGGCTTATTTACATGGCTGCTGTAAAGTAAAGCCACCAGAAAGGTGAAAAGGGGTGAAACAGAAAGCTGTCAGGATTCTTAAGTACCAGACCATTCATGTAGCACATTCAATTGGTCAAAGCATACTACAAGGCCAGCCCAGATTCAGTAGGAAAGGAAATGGCAGCTGTTCCATCCTGCCCTGGAAAGATCATGTCTCACTTCACCCACGTTTTATTTATGTAAACCCAATTATGCAGCCCCTTCTTGGTGAGAGAAGCAATGATCATATATAGAGCCCCAAAGACCTATAGGGATCATCTGTAACTGATAACTTTATAATTGTGGAGTTCCTTAATGTTTAAAGTTGGATTTTCTGTTACATGCAACTGAAGCATTCCCAATGATGAAGATTATGTGGAAAAACAAGACTATAGAAAAGCAAATAAAAACTGCTCATATCAGATATGTGTGGTGTATACTTTATGTAAGACATGGGGGAAAAGGCTGTCTGCTAAACAATCCTTTGGGTAGCTTTTGCTTTTTTGGTGAAAGCACCACAGTCTAGAGTGTAGAACTCAACTTTGCAAACTAAGAAACTGAAGTTGCTAATTCATTGAGGGCAATTCCATCTTTCAGCGCTAAAGATTGTTATTCCAACTCATAAAATGGCATAAAAATAAAATGCCAATTACAATTTATAATGAATACTATAAATATTGAGGAGACAGGAACTTTGAGGTAATCATGACCTGTACATTCTGGAATCAGAACAAGAGGAACTGGATGAATTAAATATTTAACGACAGCTAAAATAGCCTGATTCATCTACATTACAGTGAGAATGGTTTTGTCAAAAGGACGGGACCACCAAAAGTCCATTGGCTAGCCACTTCCCGCATCCACTTTTATGTAAAGGATATTCTTGCTTGTGGGAGGGGATATACCCAAAGATGACTGATCATGTCCTTCTCTTCCCTGGAAGGTGCTGAGCAGAGATGATGGTCTCTGTTTCTCTTTTCTTTCTCTTTTCCATGACTGATTAAACCCTTCTGTAAAAACCATTCAGTTGGCATGAGATTGTTTCCAAATACTTCTCTAAACAGAAATTCACCCCGATGAAGTTTTTAATCATCTATGGGAAAATGAGAAAAATAAAGACACACATATACAAACCCCGACACACGTGTTTCACTTTGTTTGTGTAGGCATATCATACATCACCTTCTCCCCTTCAACAGTCATCTTTCCTGAGTGTCTTTATATATCCACCCGTCAGTTGTTCCTTACTGTCTTGTCCAGCCCCTATATCCACATGAACTATGATGCAAGTAGATTGTGATTAGAGCCCCTTAGTTGGCTGCCTCTCCTTTTGCACAGATTATAATTGTTTCCAAGTAGATTGTGATTAGAGCCCCTTAGTTGGCTGCCTCTCCTTTTGCATAGATTTTAATTGTTTCCTTCTTGATCTGTTCTTTTATTCTCCATTCCACAAACATACAAAGTTGTAGCTGTATATCCATGTATTAGGGAAGATGAGCTGCCAAACATTCCATCTCAAATCTCAGCAGCTTAACATAATAAAAATTTATTTCTCACTCATGTAAACTTCTGGGCAGCTCTGTTAGTTGGATCTCTTCCATGAGCTACCTCGGATACTCAGGCTTTTTCCATCTTGTAGCTCTGCCATCTTCAACACATGGCCTCTGAAACCACTACAGAAGGGGAAAATGAGGGAGAATCATAAATGGCAGCTGTATTATTAGCTTGTCCTGGAAAGGTCATACTTCAGTTCACTCTAATAGCGAACTCTAATAGTCTGACCCAAATGAGTTTTCCTGAGGATTTGAGATCTCTAAAAATAATAATAGATGAAGAAAGACACAAAATTTCACATTAAATATGATGTCTATGGGGCTCAAGAGAAAAGCTACTGGTGAATTAAATTCCTTATGTGATCTCTCCTTAAGGATGTCTGTTTTACTTAACCTTACTTTCCTGATTTTAAATTGAGGCCTTTCTTCAAAATACTGCTTTTTCTAAATTCTATTTTTATGCATTCTTCTTCATGATGACCTTGTGAGTGGAAAAACAACTCCAACTATTTTTTCTCTGCTCTCACACCAATCAACACAGAAGACATCTGTGACCAAATGTGTATGGGTTTTTCTCCACACACCAAGCAAGCAGTCAATTCTGTAGCAGACGCCAACGGGGTATCCTCCAATTTAATTTTGACACTGTCTACTTGAAGATAGCGTCAGAATCCACAGGTTGAGGGCTCGGTCTCACAAGGCTGCCCCTCCTTCAGATGATAGTCTCAAGTCTAGGCCTCTGAATGTCTGGCCCACCAGCTTCAAGTTGGGGTTCCACAATACCTCCCTTGGGTTTAATTAAATTGCTGGAGCAGCTCATAGAACTCAGTGAAACATCTACTTACATTTACCAGTTTATTATAAAGGTATTACAAAGGACATAGAGATGCATAGAGTGGGGTATGGGAAAAGGGGCATAGAGCTTCATGGCACCCTCTAGGAATCTCTATGTGTTCAGCTATCTGGAAGCTCCCCAAACCCTGTCCTTTTGTGCTTTTATGGAGGCTTCATTACATAGGCATATTTTATTTAACCATTGACCATTGGTCAATGATGATCAACTTAACTTTCAGCCACTCTTCCCACCTCTCCCCAGAGTTTAGGGGTGGGGCTGAAAGTCCCAATCCTCTAACCCTGCCTTGTTATTCCTTGTTACCAGCCCCCATCCTGAAGCAACCTAGAGCCTGCCAGTCATCAGTCAACACACTAGCAAAAAACATCACCTTGGAGATTCCAAGGATTTTAGGAGTTGTATGCCAAGAAATTGGATCAAAGATCAAATATGTATTTTACAATATCACAGACCTCTATCAATTACATTGCATTTTCCTAAATCTGATTTATTCAGCTTAGAATAACACCCTGGCGTAAAGGGTTATAGTAAGTTGTTCAAGGCAGCCATGGACACACACAGGTCCAGTTGAAAAATCCAATCAGATGAGTTAGAGATACATCCCATTTATCCTTCTGATTAACCAATCAGACTGGCATACATATTCACATATATCTTCTAATATCACAAAACATTTTCTAAAATTGAACAGTATCAAAAAAGTCTTTCATCTACACCAAGGATTAGCAAACTGTGGACCTTGGGGCCAAACTTGAATCATTCCCTACTTTTGTAAATGAAATTTTATTGGAACACAACCACACCCACTAATTTACCTATTGCTATGGCTGCTTTTGTGCTACAATGGCAAAGATGAGTAGTCGTAATAGAGGTTGTATAGTTCACAAAGTCTAATATATTCATTATCTGGCCCTTTACAGACATAGTTGATCAATGCCTGCTCTAAACTATGTGGAGAAGAGTCATATACTTAAGGGCCTGAACAGCAATATCGATGAGTGAAGTGGAACAACTAGAATATAAAAAGCAATATAATTTTGGTTGAGCCAAGAAGTATTCTCATACTGGTCTAAAAATATTCAATTTTAAAAACATGTAGGCCAAAACAATTCACAGCAGATTAGGCCCCTAGTCAACCAGTTTACAACTTATGAACTGAGTTCATAAGCACAAAGAAAGGCACTCCTCCACCACCCCATAATGAGCAAGGCTGCCTCTCTACAAACAAGCTTGGCCACAAGATCTTCTCTTTATTATGTGAAATAAGGTTACTTCCTTTACATCCTCAACACCTCAGCCTTCTATCCACACCCATTTTAAAATTGTGACTGCTTGGATTTTTCTTAAATAGGAAACTTGTCATGCTCAGCTATATATCCCATTGTTGCTCTTCCAAACCACAAAGACTAACAGAGACTTGACATCACAGCTTATAAGGGTTTGATTAAATGCTTACCATGGAGCCACCTTATTTGCTGGTCCATGGGGGGAGGGATGTCATCCTTGATAATAATTTATTATTTGTAGTTCTCATGTCCTTACTTGGCAAATTTATAACTGGCAACCCTGGATTTTATTTTATTTTTAAACTGATTTATGAAATCCCAAAGTATGGAAACCACTGGCCTAAGAGGCACATAATGCAGCAGTGCAAGGATGGCTTTGCTGATCTTTGCTTTGGTCCTTCCTTAGTGATTTTACATCATGTAAGCTCTCAATTGTCCAAACTTATTCTTCTTATATCTAAATTCTTAGGGAACTTCTCACTGAAATCAGAATTTATAACTAAAAGCACATACCAAGGAGATAACAGCTATTGCCGGCCCAGTCTTAAACAAGGGAAAGCTGAATCCTAGAATGTTTTATGTCTTGAAGGAAGCCCTAAATCCAAGAGAAAGGCCTTGAGAACTATGTGTGTAGAAGGCAGACATCAGAAACATGCTGCTTGCGGGACAGGAGAGTAGGAACTTGCATATAGTGAATGTCTGCCATATCTATTTCCTTTAGCAAACCATGTAAAGTAGAGCTATCTCCAATTTATGAGTTAAAAACTTGAACAACCTTACCATGATTAGGCAAACTTGCTCAAGGTTAACAAGTCATTGATAAACTCAGTATGACTGAGGTAAAAGCTTTTATTTCAGGTTGGAGCAATAGCTAACCTTTCTATTCTTTTGTTTTATTTTGTTTTTAAGATGGAGTTTCATTCTGTCACCCAGTGGCATGATCACAACTCACTGCTACCTCCACCCTCCAGGCTCAAGTGATCCTCCCACCTCAGCCTCCCAAGTAGCTGGGACCGTAGATACATGTCACCATGCCCAGCTAAATTTTTGTATTTTTGTTAGAGATGGGGTTTCACCATGTAGCCCGGGCTGGTCTCAAACTCCTGAGCTCAAGTGATCCGCCTGCCTTGGCCTCCCAAAGTGCTGGGATTGCAAGCATAAGCTATCGTGCCCAGCCTACCTTTCTATTCTTCTTTCTTTTTCTTGAAAAAAAAAAATAATAATCTCTAAAGTTTAAAAGGTTTAGAAAATTATCCTAAGTCAGTTGAAGCAAAGTTAGAGAAGAACCCAGTAAGATATCATAACATTTCTTTAACGGACTCAAATCTTCAAGTGAAATCCATCCAGGAGTATGAGAGTGCTGCATGTGGCATACAGAATCTCTGTCACCAGTCTTTGGGAAATTTTATAAATAATTAAAGAGGTTCCTACATACCAGGAAAGATAAAAAGTCTCCACATTTTCAAGGAGAAAAAAATATGGGTTAGAGCAACCAGTGAATTAAAGAAATTCCTGGAACAATTTTAGATTTGGTTATTAAACAGAAGGTTTATGAATTCTTAGAAAAACAAGTAGTAGTATTTTATCTATCAGTTAGTTTACAGGAATCAGAAAGTTAGAAGGCCCATCTTGCAGAAAGAAAACGCTGGTGTGTGCTCCATAATTAAAAAGAACAGACAACCATATCCTTGATCCTAATGTTGACTATTCAAAATTCAGTCTCAGGAGAGAAGCTCTGATTGGCCAAGCCTATACCCAAGCTGTGCTTTTGTTCTATCAGGGCAGATAAAGAGTGGTTCTGGATTCTTGGGCCATCATGGTCTGAGGAAGGAAGCTGGGTTTGCCTGTCTGCCAAGCCTACAGAAGTAGAGGGTTACAGTTCATTCTCTAAAAGGAAATCAGTGTGCATTTTGGAAAGAAAACAGGATTCTAGACCACAAAAATATTGGCAATTGTCCTCAACAATTGAAAAATAGGTTGGATTCATGACATACTTGCCTCTTTCATTTTTAAAAAGTGTTTTTGGACAAGTAGATGCCATGTATGTGATTCATTCATCAAGGTCCTTAGAAGAGTTTCTCATGATACCCTTGCAAAAAGATAGAAAAATGGAAGCTGGCAGGTGGTATATGTTCATGGCTGGTAGAATATTAAAACCATTATTGAATCTCAGTGAGGATTGCTCTCTGGACCAAGAGTGCTATAATCTTTTCCAGTTCAACATTATAATAATCACTTGAGTGAGAAAAATAAAAGAGTTAAGACTCTTGTAGTTGCAAGTGACAGAAATTCAACCAGAAAATTTCTGAAGTGAGGCTGCAAGCACAGCTTGGATTATGAAACTTGACCAATGTGATAAAAATGTTGTCCTTTTCTCACTGTCTCTTGGCTCTGCTTCCTCTCTGTTGCCTTTATGCTATAAAACCATCTCCATATGGTGTTAAGGATGGCTCCATGACTCTATTCTTACATTCCATCAGGTTGGCAACTTCAGACAAGGAAAGTTTTCCCAGCAGAAGCCCTGAGATGACTCTTATTGTCTGAATTGGTATATGTGTTCAATCTTGAATCAATTACCAGAGTCCAAGTTGATGAAGTGTTCCGATTAGTCAAGCCAAAATCACATACCCACCCATGGAGCCAGGGGGCTAAGTAAGCTCCCCTCAAACCACCTGGATAAAGAGAAGAGAAGACATAGTACTAAAAAAAATTGAGGTTTTCTTACAAAAAAAGGGGATTTTGAATAGACAAAAATAATGAACATCTTTTAAAACATGATTATTCAGTTTAGAGGTGGCACAAAACTGAGAGATGTAGCTATTAATAATATTGACAGGAAGAAGGTTCAAAAGATTTCAATAAGCTACTGGAGTGGGCTTAAACTAACACAATTAAATTTAATCAGAATAGAAGGAAAGTTTAACATTGACATCAAAATCTCAGTTACATAAGTAATGTTGGGGCTATTACTTCAATGCCAAAGCATGAAAGTTTTAGTTGTCTACAAATTCAATTATTTATTAACCACCTAAAAAGCTAATGTAATTCTCTGCTGTTTTACAAGAGCTATACTGCCTCAGTGATCATTGTCCCACTGTATTATGCACTGCTTGAATATTTCTGGGTGTCTATTTTCAATGCTAGTCATTGACAATAACCATATAACCAGAGGAAGATGCCCACAAGAACAGACAATTTATTGCCAAGCAAGTTATATAATATATCTAAAGTCAAATAGAAACAATATTTTTTCCATAATTCACATCCTGTTTATTATAGATAAAAGTTGACTATATCATATCCAGAGTGTATATACAGCATCCAGAGGTCAACCTAGTTTCTTCTTAGACACTTGGTATAAGCAAAAAGTAAGTAAGCCTTGGCTAAGCCTTTATTGCCCAGGGGCAAAGTAATCTTTAAATATATGCTCTAGGAAACACACATATCAAATAGGGAATCCTTTGTGCTTGATGTAAAAGAAACAACATTAAAATGTCTTTTTAACATAGACACACATAATATGTATATATATGGATAAGTATGGCTATGGATATATACAAATACATACAAACTCAAACACAAATACAAACAAATCCATACATCAGTGTATTTGTTTCACATGACTGTTAGGAAAGTATTTCTGCATAAGAACAACTAGCACAAAGTCCTGAAACTGTTCTAAACCATGGGGAAGGACTGCGCTATCTTAAATGTTGTCTTTTTGAAACTTTCTTTAGTGACACATTAACCTCTGTGTTGTTGACCACAGCACAGACCAGTTTTCCTCACTTCCTGTTATCTTGTTCTCATTTGATAGTGAGGCTCAGAGGGTGTCTGAGGGGAGGGAACATTTTGGTACAAAGGCAGTTGGCAAACAGGAAAAGCAGCCCCCTTGCTGGTTACAGGTTAATAACGACAGCAGGGAGAGGAGTTCCTTAGAATTCCCTTGAGCCGGTCAGCTTCCCTTGAGGTCAAAAAGTCCTAGGGCAGCTTTAATCTGCTGTATAAAGGCAAGGAAAAGTCACTTCTGGTTTACCGTAAAACAAAAAGAGCTCCTTATTGGATCAGAAGCTGCAGAAATGCTTATAGTCAAGTGGGTTCTGTTGGTTGTGGAGAGCTGATGAGGTTAGTTTGTTAGAACACACTTTGTGAACCATAAAATCTACAGAAGTAATTTATAGTTGTTTGCCAAAGGGATTTTTCTAGGCAGCTTCTATATACTACATACTCTTTTAAGTACTTAAGTTAAATTTTAATTTTAACAACATTAGTTGAAATCACGGTGGTTAAGTCTAAAACATATTGCTTTCTTTCTTATCTTTTTAAATAAAATATATTTGACCAAACAGTCTTTCTTATACAACCTAATGGGATCATTTATGAACATCAGGTTTTGAAATATGGTCCAATATATACTAATTGCCATTTATTGAAAACCTGTTGTGTGCCAGGTATTGTGCTAAGCCCTATGCAAAAAACTTAGATGATTTAATCTGCAAAACAACCTGCCAAGTCAGTGTTATGCCCATTTACTTATTTTACATATAATTAAACCATGGTCTAGAAAGCTTAACTCACATGAAGTTAAACAACCAGTAAATAGTGCCCATAGAAGTAGAATCTAGTTGTGCCAAAATGCAAAATCCAAGCTTAAAATCACCAGTGTGTACCTTACAGTAGTGCTCTCAGAAGAGTGTTGTGTTGGCAAATGTTTAGTAAACAGCTCTCCAGAAAAAGTGTATGTATACACACACACTACACACACATATATGTGTGGGTGTGGTATATATACTTTGTAATAAAGTATATATATGTTTTATTATAAATTTTACTGATATAAAAGGAATTAACAAGTTAGAATAACTAAAATACATAATTTGGTATTATAATTATTATAAATTCCATATCATCAGTTGAATATCACAGAATACACTTGATAATTTTTGCCTAATTCTTTTATTGCAGACAGCTACAATAGAAACTTTTAGAAGGAAACATAGGAGAAAATCTTTTTAATTTGGAGCAAAATGGACATTTCCGCAAAGCATTCTTAGACGTGAGACCAAAAGCATGACTCATAAAAGAAAAAATAAATTGGACTTTATTAAAATTGAATTTTTCTTTTTGCTTCAAGAGACACCATTAAGAAATTGAAAAGATAAGCCATGGATTGTGAAAATTATGTGCAAATCATATATTGGACAGAGGACTTGCACCCAGAATATACATAGAACTCTCAAAGCTCAATATTAAGAAAACAAACACACACTTAATAAAAACTGAACAGATTTGAACTTATATCTCCTTTGAGCCAAAAGGGATAATAGAGATGGTAAATGTGCACATGAAAAGTTGTTTGACACCATTAACCATTAAAAATACAAATTAAAGCTGTGATAAAATACCACTACACACCTATTAGATGGCTAAAATAAACAGTACTGACAATATCAAGTGTGACAAGGATGTAGAAAAGCTGGAACTCTCACACATTGCTAATGGAAATGCGAAGTGACACAGCAGCTCTGGAAAATAGTGTGGCACTTTCTTATATCATTAAACATACACTTATCAATGACTCAGCCGTCTCACTCCTAGGTATTTACCCTAGAGAAATGAAGACTTTTATGTTCATGCCAAACTCTGCATGTGAATACTTAAAGCAGCTTTATTTATAATTGCCAAAAGCTGTAAACAGCCCAGAGATACTTCAGCAGGTGATAAAGAAACTGTGGTACATCCATACAATGGAATACTACTCAGGGATGAAAAGAAATGAACTATTGTACCTGAAACAACTTGAATGTATCTTAAAGGCATTCTGTTGAATGAAAAAAAGTCAGTCTCAAATATTACACATTATATAATACTATTTATATAAAATTCTCATAAAGAGAAGACTATAATTCTCATGAAGAGAAGACTATAAGGATAGAGAACAGATTAGAGGCTGCCAGAGATTAGGTGTAGTTGGAAAGTATGACTACAAAGAGGTAGCATGAGAAACTTTTTCGAGGTGATGGAACTTTTCTGAATCTTGATTGTGGTGTTGGTTATATTAATCTATATATGTATTAAAACTCATATTACTATATACCAAAAGAAAAAAAGTAAAAGTCAATTTTACTGCATGATAATTTTTAAAATTGAATTGAATTTAAAAAGTTAAAATTTATAAAAATTTTTAAAAAGTCAATACATAATAATTCTGTGAGGTTTTTTTTTTTTTTTTTTGGTCTCAATTACCTCTAATTAGGTTACTTTGGTAGTCTGTGATTTCTAATGAACTTATCAAGAATAAGTATCCACTTTGCTTATGTCCTTTACCATTTCGGGCAAAATCACAACTTAATTCGCTCCACTGTACATGACCTTCTCAAGTATGGGAGAGTGTGTTTTGGTTCAGTACCAAGCACTTCAACAATTTGCAGGGCTCCTTAGTACCCTATACCATTCATGAAATTCTTACCGTTTGCAATTCTATTCTTACAACCTCTGAAACTGGTCTTACCATCTGACCATCTCTTTTCCTCTGCTGTTGACTATATATAGCTCCAAATTATCTCACTAAGTCCTATATAGCCCCTTTGGACCATCTGAGATAGCAAGAGAAGGCTTAAAGCCTACAGAGGGCGCTCCAGGCTATGTGGTCTCCAGAAGTAGAAGCCCCTCTGAAACATCTGTTAGATGTGGTGTCAGTGGCCAGGTGATGGGACTTACCGGACAGAATGTCTGTGTCTCTACTGTTTCACTCCGATTAGTAAGAGGTTCAGAGATGATAATTCATTACGCTGCTTCATAATGTTCTTCTTAACATTAGTGAGGATATACAGGAGAGATTGTTATCCATACATATTTTGCAAGGTGAATTATAAATACTTAAATACAACAGCTTACTTTAAGGCAAGAAATTCCCAATAGAATATCCACTAGCATAAATTCTGGTTTCTTGGCTGTCCTGCATTTCTCTTCAAATGGTTTTGAGGACACCTCTATTTCTGAGGCTACTCCTAGTGGTTTCCCTGTAGAAAAAAGCAACCTGGAGAATTCTGTATTTTAAAACACAAATTGTAGGCAGTTTAGCCATAAGAGTGTAATCACTGATAAGATACTTTATAATACTTCAGTGAACATCAGTGTGGTGCCACCAGAGTTGGGGGAAGAAATTTCTCCTAGACCCAGCTACATCTGGTGTCCCACAATCCTCGCTGGGATGAAGCACACCTGATACCTTCCCAGGGGTAGTTTTAGCCATGCTTGCTGAAGGGCACACTGGAAAGACCTAACATTGACTCAAAACAGTATCTTTATCTTATTCAGCAAGGGTCGCCTGTAATATCCAGTACTTACAGCTGATGCTGGGAACTTCTGTCTCCTCTGTCAGGCATTCTTATATATTTTAAACCTGAAGCTGGTGTAATCACCAATCATTTTTAGTGTTTCTGTGTTCCACACACATTCTAATCTTGAAATTCTCAACACCACCATAATTAGTACCACATTCAGACTATGAGACTGGGATAAACTGGCGTTATTTCAGATATCTCTTAAATTGCTCTCTAACCAACAAGACTCTTAGAACGTTTCCCAAAAGGTAGAAAAGCCCTTTGTGCTTAGCCCACAACCCAGATATGGGAAGGAAACTACTTACTCCTAGCTAATAGCTCTATCCTCCACCTCTCATCCCATTCTACGGGCAGTTGGGGAATCTGCAAAGTCCATGCTTTGAACACTGAATTACCAGCTCTATCCCTCCTCCTATTTCCACCCTCACTGCTCCCAATTGGTTGGGTTGGATCCAGCCTGGAACTTCAAACCTTTTCCCCAAAAGCTCATGATCCATCTTTTCTCAAGCCAGAGAAGGATCGTTTGCATGGGTGAAGTTCTCCAATGGCCTTAATTCTTAGTGCTCACAATAGTGAAAGGAACTTGGGTGCTCTTGTTAAGGGAAGATTCTGAGCTTATCTTGGAGTTTCCCCTAGTCTTCTTGCAGATGAAGCTGATAGGTTTCTGTTACCTACCATCTTTTATTGGGCTCACACCACAAGATGCCTAGTTTTTTTATTATTTCTGCATTTGATCATGCAGCCTGGTCATTTGAGACTCCCTACAACACTTGCTTGCTTTTCTCCCAACTTTCTATCTTCCATTTTTCTCTCCATCCCTCCATTCCCAGAGCTTTACACAAAAAAGTGTTTCATATCATTGTAGACTGGAAGTTTCTTCATCTTCTCTCTGCTAGGTGGTCAAGACTTTATGATGAGTTTACATGAGGTTTTTTTCATCGGCTAGGGATTTGTTCTGCTATTGGAAGTCAGTCAAGCAGAAATCTGTGCTAAGCAAGACAGAGTGGACATGAGAGATATTCTCTTTTTGAACAGGTAAGATTTGAAACCTTAAAAATCTAACCTGCTGAGCAGTATAGAGCCACAGCTACCTAAGTGCTCTAAACCTTGAACTTCTACCATGCACTTACTAATGAAATAGAGAAGTAGTAATAAAAATTGATTTTAATCCTTTTAATTCTCAGATATAGGAAGAGAAAACCCTCATATTATAAAATTTTCTGATAACTTCTTGTTTTGATGCTTTCTGGCTTGGAGGACTGAAGGAAGAAAATTAGCCATATAGTCAACTTCAGGGAAAATGTATAAACCTAGCTTTTTGGATCTGAGGTCAAGAACTGTAGTTGCCTGTTACTACTTTACTTGGCTTAATTCTCTCTGGCCTTTGTAACATCTAAATAGTGTTACTGTATCAGTCAAAGTCAAACTAGGGATAAGAAACCACTTGAGTATTTGAAACAGAAAAAATACAATACAAGAAATTAGTTACTCAGATGATGGAAGCTCTGGAAGCCACACAAGGTACAAGAGGCAACCCGGGAATTAGCAAAGGTTAGAATCCTCTACCACCTCCTGGCTGGAAGGACAGAGGAAAGAGGTGGTTTTACTGGTGCTTAAGGACGGGGATCACATGGTGAAAGATAGAACCACTGCGAGAAAGAGCTGAAACCAACAAGAAAATGCAGCCATGGCAGGGGTGCTGCCCAAAATGGAGAAGGGGTAAAAGTGGGGGAGAAATACTATTATTTTTTTCCTTCCTCTCACTCTCTGGTCTCTTAGTAGTGGCTCCCATGGGCCAAACCCATCCAGAAGCAAGATAATGTGAGATGCTGGAAAATTCATCCTGATGGGATCAACCTCCTTCTTCCACAATAAAGAGCAGATGATGGAAAGGATAAATGGAGAATCTGTGGGAAAGATGGCCTAGGACTAGCCTGGCTAGTGGAGACACATCACAAATGAAGAGATGGTTGGACCTGATTTTAGGACTTCTCCTTCCTGTAATGGACAATTTGTAATCAGGTTGGGAAGCGCTCTGCCACCTGCAGGAGCTAAAGTAGCAGCCATGGGAAGGACATAAGCAGTTTGGGAGAGCTTCGTAACAGTGACTTCAAATTCTCAGCCTTCTCTCATGAACCACCTCAAGGCAATGACTCTCTAAGCTGATGTAGTTCTGTTGTGTTCCTGTGTTTGAGACAGTCTATTCTCACATTTCCCTAGTGTGTTCTGAGTCACAGTTCATTTTATTCCCTGCCTGCATCACTTGCTTTTACACTCCTTACAAAATCATATACTTCTGGTACCCAATGGTGTCTAGCATAGGTTGCCTATTGTAAGGTGTCTTTCCCTCTTCCCAGTGTAGGAGCCAGAATCTTTTGTTCCTCTCACAAGCCCATCTGCCACTTTACCCAGTGATCTTTGATGCCTTTCCTAGTACTGTCTAACTCTCTTTAAAAATACAGAAACAGTTACTGTGGAATTCTATGCGATCCTCCATGGCCTCCTTCTTCCAATAACTCCGAATGGAAATTCCTGTGGGGGAATAGCCCAATAAACACAATTATCCAGCAGAAGAAGGGCTTTCTGGTTGGATCAGTCAAAGTTCACTCAGGAGCACAGAGGTCATTCCAGGTACTCAGGTAGAAGGAATTTAATATGGGGAACTAGATACAGTGGTGTTGAAGGTAGTAAAAAACCAAAGGCCAATAAGGCAACAGCTTGAATTCACTACTACTGCTAGTAGGACAAGAGGGATAAAGGGAATAATTGGAGTAATTAGAACCCAAGAATCAGAGCCATCCATAGGAGCTCATTAATAGCAGAGGTTTCCTGTTGGGATCAGGAACCAAGCTGGAGACACAGCCCCTGCCAGAGCCCATGCCTGAAACACAGAGGAAAAGGAATAAAAACCTGGCTTCTTCCTTCTGTCTGTCCTCCAATCTCTCCAGTGGTTTTCGTTGACTAAACCAAGCCAGAAGCCACTTGGCAAGAGAGTCCAGGAAATGGAGCTTGCAAAGGAAGGGCAGGGGAAGGATTTAAGAGCAAACCAACAAATAACCCAGCACACTGGTTGCAATATTTGTTCTCAAGTCTTACACTTTTCGGTAGTTCTGAGATTTCTGCTGTCTGCTGCCAAAACTTTTTGGCTCCTGAGGGGTCCACTCTTGACACCCCAGCATCTTCCTGCTAGTGGTTTAAAAGACATGCAGATGCAGAATGTCATGGGCCTGGGTCTAGCCTATTGGTCTGGGTTTTTTTTAATTCAACGTTAAGCCACAATTTAGTAATCCACTGTGACCTCTACCCTCCATCCCCTACTCCTAATTGCCACTCCTCACCCAACTATGAAGATCTATTCACAGCCATAATGTGGGAGGGCATATTGGTGGAACGCTCATTTGCTAACAGAGCATGTGTGCAATTGTTTATGAAGATTTGTACATTATTGATATATCTTTCACTTTTAGTCACTGGGTCCACCAAGGTACTTCTATAGCTGGTAGCTTACTCTTTCTTCTACCACTCTCCTTCATCATACCAATATTTTTTCCTTTGTTTACCTTCATGGGGTCTTTTATGCTTCCTTGCCAGTTCTAAAGCATGTGTGAAGAGCAGATACATCTATGTAAATGGTTTATATTTACTGTGAAAACTTATGAAATATTTATGAATTATTAATGTCGTTTCTAGGGCCACAATAAATCTCTCTTTTTCTCTCTCTCTCTGTGTGTGTAGTGTGTGTGTCTTTCTCTCTCTCTGAAGTGTAACCCTTCAATATGGTATAACTTTCTCAGACTGATTCTGCTACTCACTCAGGAGGGAATGTTAAATTCTACTTATTTTGCTTCAGTTTGTAAACTTTCTAGTGTTCTCTTTTTTCAAACTGGATTGTTAGATTATCTGAGGGTACCCACTCCCTTTGTTCAGAGCACAGCATTTGGTGGGCTGTAAAACAGAAGAGCTCCTTCAGACTTGTTTGACAAATGAGAGGAAAGGGGCAATGGTGGCAGGAGCTTGTACAGATAAAAAGGCTCTTCACCTTGGGCCAAAAGGTGCTACTTGGCACCACCTCCACTTCCTGCTTTTGCTCAGGAAAGAAATCTGACAAAGCAGGAGACAGTCCTTGCCTTGCCTTCCTCACTCACAACCCCCTTTTTTGAGAACTGCCATCTTGTTCTCAAGATGGGCCATATACTAGTCTCTATTTCTATTTCTCCAGCTCTTGTCCATGCCACCCAGACAACTATGATGGCCTCTCCTTAGTTATTACCCTGTAGATTAGTTTTGCATTATTGGATAAATGGAATCCTATAGTTTTCGTTTGGAATAATTTAGTCTTCGGAATCTCTTACTTAACATGATGCTTGTGGAATTCACCATGTAGTTGCATACAGCAATATTTTATTTATTCTTTTGCTGAATATTATTCCATTACTTTTGCCAGTTTGAATGGATTTCTTTCTTACAGTCAAGTAGGCCATGACTAAGGGAGATAATGAAGCATGGAATTGTCTTTTCCAGAGAAACCACAGGCATGGAATAAGAATTCCCTGAGGAGGCCTTTTCTGTCCTTTCTTCATCAAGCTGCGACATTATTTTCATATTCAGAGAACTTCAGAGCAACACCGAGTTTCGCTGAGTGGGTTCAGAGTTCCATATGGCAGCTGTCTCAGTTCCTGGCACGAGGCCAAAGGATGACAGTTCTTATCTTCTTTCATGTTCTTTTGCCCAACCTTAGGGAATATTTCTTTACCCTGTGATTGCTCATATCTGAAAATCTTACTCACACTCTACAATCTTCCATCAGCCCAATGCCATGTGGTGTTAACCCTTTGCATGCTGCAGTGTTGAGCTGCAAACCTGCCCTTTTCTTGCAGTAATCCAAAGTGCCCGTAAAGTCTTGAGGCAGACAATGTTATTTTGTCATGTATGTTCATATAATATCAGCAAATCATTCATTGTGTCTTTGTCTATCTTCCAGACATGGTGGTTGCTTTGTAGAATCAAAATTTCTGTTATCTTTTTTCATAATTAGTTAATAAATTCAAGTTGAGCTAAGGAGCCAGGTGAAGCCACTGTGATTTGGGCAAGGTTCCCATCGATAGACATGTGCTTTCAGACACAAGATGTGCTTTCAGACATACAATTCTGTTTGGCCAGAGTAGAATAGAATGGGTGGTGCACACTTTCATTATGTAAGTACACCCTGTTTTTCCCATTGGTAATAATATCTTAAGGAGCGCAAGGAAATTCAGGAAGGAACATTTCATAATGTCAAGAATACCTACTAAGTAAATTATTCTTTAGAATAAATCTGAGAGATGGATTGTCATACCAAAGCCAATAGAAACTGAAGCATGATAATGTCAATGCATATTTTCCCTGATATACTGTAGATCCGTAGTTTTAAAAGCCTGCTTTTTTATTTTGCTAGCTGAATCTCTTTTATCTTGCTGCCACTCTTCTCATGGGATGCCTCAAAATCCTACAGACTCTTGCCTGGCAATGGGGAAAAATGAGGGTGTTTACCACTAAGAAAGCCAATTAAAGAAGTAACTGATGGATTATCCAGCCCATAGACCAAACAAAATGGACGTTACTTCATGTCTTCAAATATCTAGGCACTGGAATCAGAAAATGAACTCCCAATCAGACTTCCCTGCTTTTCCTGCAGGGAAAATGAGATGCAAAGCAGAGTCAGAGAAAAATAGCAAATGGCCATTTGTCTGCTGGGAGATAAAAATCTTACTCAGAGGTCAAGTCACATTCAAACTGGTTGATCCCATGGAGACTGACTCTGTCCTGTGGGACATTTCTTCTCTCCTCCTGTCTCTACCTTTCTTTTCTCTGTCTCTCCCACCCTTCCTCTTTTTATTTGCCCCCACTCAGGGTGCAGATACAGGTTTTGTAAGGCTGAAGTTTAAATGACAGTCAGGGGCCAGAGGAAGAGGAAGATATTATTATAAGTAGCAATGAAGTAAACATTTATCTAAAATTAAAAAAAAATAAATCACCAGAAATTGCAAATGTTTAAATGTTGAAAGTCCTTCAACATTATTCAATACCAAAAAAGTTACACCATGTTTTTTAATGAGCTGCTTTATACTTTTTCCTACACGTTTGGCTGTATTCCCTTTGATTGCCTTTTGATATGACAATGGATTTTATATATAATCTTTAATAGAAAACAGAAAGATAATTTAGTTTTTGGGCTAGCATGGTTGATCAAAATCTATTTTTTATTGGCTGAAATGCGTAAAATGCAAAAACCCACCTCATACACAAGCGCACCCATTTTTCTTTTAGTTTTTAGTACTGCAACAAGAACATGCCCTACAAACACAGAAATTGTGATATGTTTTGTTTCACTTGTTTCCCATAAAAACTGTACGGTGCATTTATGATTGTATATGTTGGGAAATTCTGTGTATTCTGATAGCAGAGAACTTGCATTTTGACAAGAACTGAATGCTCCACTTATAACTTCACAAACTGTAGACTAGCTTCAGAGTCCTACCTTCGAGCCTTGTTTCTTGTCCACCACTTGTACAGCTGCCATGTCAAGTACCACAGGCCTTATTCATGCCCTGATACAAGGTGGACATTGCACCTTCTTGTCAAGACACTGGATGAGTTTACACAGCAGGCAACAGGAGTATTTCTGGAAGCCATTACTACACTACAGTGGAAAACGATAACATTACACATTATACATGTGACTATGAACCGCTTAACTGTTTCCACTAAATAATAAGTAAATGCATCTCTAATTCAACTTTCCCTTCTATATATCATCCCCCAAACACTCACCCCCATTCAACAACACCTAACACAAAGGGAATTGTGGTGGAGCAGAAGTTAAAGTGGAAACAGACAGCTGTCTTAATTGATTATGATGCAATTTTTTTTTTCTGAAAATGTTTCAAAATCAAAAGATGATAGGAATTATTTTTGAAGTCTGTCCCAGGGTGTGGGAGGGTCTGTAGGAACTAGGTCCCTGACATTTGAACTTCCTGGCAAAGCTTCCTTCCTTAATGCTGGCAATGGCCAACTTAGTGTCTGGTCTTCTGCTTTCCCAACCCAGAAATGTGAAGCTTCTGGTTGCTGAGGAGGTCCTAGCCCTCAGGTGGAACGGTGCCATGTGTCCTGGAGCCCAGATACTGCCTGGGCAGAGAGGTCTGATCACACACAGAGATGGGTGTTGGCCTAGGCTTTCCAGATGAAAACAGTGTGACTGATGGCTACTGAGGTGGGGCTTTGGAAACTGGGTCCTTTCAGCCCATGGATGAAGCCTGAGATGTCATGCCCAGTGTTTGAAGCTTACAGACCCAGCTCAATTGACTAATAAGAAGCCTGCTTTGTGCATTTAACTCTTCGGTGTTTCCTCCCTCCCTCCCTCACTCCCTTCCTCTCTCCCTCCCTCCCTTCCTCTCTCCCTCCCTCCCTTCCTCTCTCCCTCCCTCCATTCCTCTCTCCCTCCCTCCCTTCCTTCCTCTCTCCCTCCCTCCCTTCCTCTCTCCCTCCCTCCCTTCCTTCCTCTATCCCTCCCTTGCCCCTTCTTTCTTTCCTTTACTTCCTTCCTTCCTTCCTTCCTTCCTTCCTTCCTTCCTTCTTTCCTTCCTTCTTTCTTTCATTTAATCATCCTGATAGGACACTGAACTAAAAGCTTGAACCCTGGGTTTCTGTTCTGATCTACCACTCATAGCTGTGTGTCCTTGAACAATCCCTTCATGCTTCTGAACCTCACTTTCATTATCTATAAAGAAAGCAAGTGAACTTGACAGTCTCTTGGTTTCCTGCCCTCAGTAACATCTGATTTTTCTAGGTCTGATTAGTATGCCAAATCACATGTGATGTTGAAATGTGTGAGGTTATGTTCTCACCACTAAGTCATTCCCACTGAATCTTTATAAATGTAAGCTAAATATTAAGTAAGTAGTGTGAACCCAGGATTACACAGTTGCTTCACATGGATATCTCAGGTAATTCCCCAACAACTAATGTTTTCAGAAAAAATGTATCTGTCACTTGAGATGTCCCGGGTACTGTGAAGAGCTCTTGCAACAAAGCCCACATCATGTAAGTAAGTCCTCATGACCACCTTAATAGTTGTGTGATATTATTGTATTCCTTATTTTAGAGAAGAGGAAACTGAGGCACAGGAAGTTTGAGTACTAGAGTGTCAAAGTCATACAGCTAGTAAGTGTCACGGTCATCACCTCCAATTATCTCTAAGCCACAGATGACAGCAATTAAATGATTTACCCAGGATTATTCACCCTAGATGGCAGAGATAGAAATAGAATTTCATTGCCTCTAGATAATGGGACAGTATAAGAAAACTCCACTCACTTGAAGTTCTTTCCAATTGACAAATGTAGTTGGCAATTTATTACCCCAGAGAAATACTTTTTCCCCTTGCTTTTAGATGTATCTGTTGTTAAAAGGGGGGAACAAAAGTATCAATTTTGTATAAAGAGTTCGGAAATAATTTGAGTTTTACAGGGTGTCACTTAATCTTTGAATCTGGTTTTATTCGGTAATATTTTGAAAACTACTCAGGCCAAAAAATCCGGATAAAACTACTGTCCTGGCACCAAAAATGGAAGAAATGGTAACTGCTGTTCCCTGCATCCTAGGCATTTCCCTGGGCTTACATAGAATTTATTCCAATGTTCCACCAGGTGGTGCTCTGGTGAAGACATGGTTCTCAGGCTCTCCAACCCCTTGACGTTATGCTTGGAAATATTTTGAGTAGATTAAGTCATTTCTCCTAAGAAAGAGGCTGCCCAGTAAAAGGAATATGATTGCCCATTTTGCCAATAAGACACAACGTGCACACAGAGAAAAGTCCAACGGGAATCCTCAGATAAAGGACAATCGTCCCTGAAAAAGTCAGTCCCAAAACATCTAAGAAGGTATTAGAACAGTGGTCTTGGCTGAGTCTTATGGGACTAGAATCAGGAATTTGGAGCTTGCGTTTCTGCTACTAATCTATGAGTCATTTGGAGAACCTCATTCTTCTCTGGACTGCAGTGTCCTCACCTATAAAATGTGTATAAGTGTACTGGGGTGGTGGGGAGGGGGTTAGACTGTATCAGCCTTCTTCTACAGGGGGCTCATAAGCCCAATCAATGGTATTTGTAGTCCAACCTCCTGAAGCTGTGAAAAAAACTTTGTGTGTACACATATTTTTCTGGGAAGAAGGTCCATTGCTTTGGACAGATCTAATCAGAAGCCAGGAGTCCTAAAATGTTAACATCTGGATCAGATCATTTCTAAGGTCCTCTCCAAGCTTCAGTATTCTATGATGTTATAATCTTTCTGGGAAGGAACTTGTGGCTGTCAAATTAATTGGATATCCCTAGCTATGTTCTAGCCGCATCCTTTCTTATGTACTCTCTAATGATTTTGTTAAGGCAGTCACACCTAAGTTAACAGAGTCCTGCAACACCCTCTCTACTAGATTAGGTGGCACATCATGTGACTGATGTGGTTCATTAGGGAGCCAAGAGAGACCAGAGGAGCTGTGAGAGCAACTGGCCAGATCCCACAGGAGCTCAGTGGTGGAAGCAGGTGCTAATTACCATCCTTTGGAGGAACAGGATATGCATTTTTTGGGAGTGGGTAAGAATTTCTGGTTAGACAAGCTCCAAATTCTTTGGCCTACTTTGAAGGCACTGCCTGTTCCATTGGCTAGGATGAGATTTTGTTTCCTGATGAGCACCAGCTCAGCCAGGAAGGAAGGCTCAGAAAAGGAGGTGTGGATATTCTTTGTGGAGGAATTGTCATGCAAATAAAGGCTCCTTCCCAACCCAAGGTGTAACTGTGAGGGAGTGTCAGGGTCCCACCTTTCTGGCTCAGGAAAAACATATCTCTTACTTTTTTACAGGAGTAGGTTTGGTAGCTGAGTAATGTAATTATATAGATTATAGATTACCAACAAACACTGAGATTTCAACCTGTTCTGGATATATATTATTTGTGAGGGGAGGGGCTTGGAGAAAAAGAGCAGGAATATTGGTTGGGATGTAGCCAATGGGAGAACCCCATTATTAAACAGAGAGTGCAGTCCAAGCATTGCACCCACAAGAGGAATTCAATGTAGGGAGATATTGGGAGTAGAGATCAGTGCTTGGGAGAGAGGAGCTGGGAAAGAAAGCAATTCCTCCAAAGGCTCTAAGTCAGCGTGTTGTCCAGAACGGAAATTGAGTATAGGAAGAGAGATTCTTTCTTGGACTTTGGAATATCTAGTCTGGTTCCTTTTCAGAATGATCAGACCACCTTCCTTACCTATTGCCTGGGCCAATGGTTCTCAGCCCTGGCTCTGCATTAAAACCACCTTTTAAAAATTTGGCAATCTCTGGGCCAGGTGCGGTGGCTCAAACCTGTAATCCCAGCACTTTGGAAGGCCAAGGCAGGTGGATCACTTGAGGTCAGGAGTTCGAGACCACCCTGGCCAACATGGCAAAACCCTGTCTCTACTAAAAATACAAAAATTAGCCGGGTGTGGTGGCATGTGCCTGTAATTCCAGTTATTGAGGAGGCTGAGGCAGGAGAATTGCTTGAACCTGGGAGGCAGAGGTTGCAGTGAGCCGAGATCATGCCACTGCACTCCGGCCTGGGTAACAGAGCAAGACTCTGTCTCAAAAACAAAAAACAAAAACAAAAAACTTAATGATGTCTTGGTTTCATGCTAAATCAGTAAGTCAGAATATCTGAGGTTAGAGCCTAGCATTGCTACTAAAAAAGTTATTTCCTTGTGACTTTAATATGCTGCCAAGGTTGAGAACCACTGGCCTACACCAATGATGGAAAACATGGAACATGCATGCTGATAACCCCCTCCCAAGTTCATGGAATGTGTTTGTTTAGTAATTACAACATTCTTTGTGCACTACAGAACTTGTGCACAATGCCTGGAACATAGCAGTTGCTCAATAAACATTTATTAAATCTAGTGATCTTTGGGGCAAGATGGGGTGGTGATATCTTTCACTTCAGCACCCATTTTAATTTATTCCTTTTCATTAAAAGGACAGTGAAAAATCATCTTTTTTTTTTTTTTTTTAGACAGATTTTCACTTTTGTCACTCAGGCTAGAGTGCAATGGCACGATCTTGGCTCACTGCAACCTCCGCCTCCTGGTTCAAGTGATTATCCTGCTCAGCCTCCCGAGTAGCTGGGATTACAGGCACCTGCCACCATGCCTGGCTAATTTTTATATTTTCAGTAGAGACGGGGTTTCACCATATTGGCCAGGCTGGTCTCGAACTCCTGACCTCAGGTGATACACCCACTTTGGCCTCCCAAAGTGCTGGAATTACAGGTGTGAGCCACCACGCCCCACCATCCTTTCTATTTACAATTCTCCTTCTATTTGAAGTATGCTTCCTCTTTTGTTGTTGTTGTTGTTCTTTTCTCTCATTACTTTCTTCCTCTCCTTTCTTGGAAAGATACATACTAATTCCAAGAAGTTAGGGTGGAAGTAAACAACATGGAAGGAAGAAGAAGAACAGCACTATCGTAGTTTCCTTGATTATTGGTCTCAGGTGATGCCTTGGGGAGCACAAATCCCACCCCAACCCCAAAGAGAAGGAGCTCTGTCATGGATCTCAAGAAAACCAGGCCAACCCAATGAGGCCCCCTTGGCCCAAGGAGGTGGCAACACTTTCAGAGGGATGAATAAAGGAGATGGAAATAAAACTGGGACATGAAAAAGCCTTTTTCAAAAAGAAGCTCTCTTTTGTTCCCGCACCATGTTGTCATCAGTAAGCAGGCTTGCTTATGGAATGCCACGATGGATCCAGATAAAGAAAACAGCCTGTGAAGCAGGACAGGTTTACCCCAGATTTCAGGGGAGAGGGGTATTCCTCATCCCATGAGGATGGTCAGTCTAGAGGGTTAAGAACAGTGTGTGGAGGAAAAAGAAAGAATAAATTCCTTAGGGTATTTTTATCATAAGCCTTCAGTTAAAGGAAAAGGAAATATTAAAACTTATGCAAGGGCCAGTTCCACTCTCCAGGGTCTCAGAGCTGTTCCTAGAAATAGTGTGCATTTTTCCTTGGCTACATAGGTGCTTCAAGACATTTTCTTTTCATACAATTATCACAGTTTATTAGCATGTATTTGTGTATTGCCTACTTTATTATTCCATTCTCACACTGCTAATGAAGACATACCCAAGACTGGGTAATTTATAAAGAAAGAGGTTTAATGGGCTCACAGTTCCACATGGCTGGGGAGGCCTTACAATTGTGGCAGGAGGTGAAGGAGGAGCAAAGGCACATCTTACATGGCAGCAGGCAAGAGGGCATGTGCAGGCTAACTGCCCTTTATAAAACCATCAGATCTCATGAGACTTATTGACTATCATGAGAACAGCATGGAAAAGACCTGCCCCCATGATGTAGTTACCTCCCATCAGGTCCTCCCCACCCCACAACACATGGGGATTATAGGGCTACAATTCAAGATGAGATTTGGGTGAGGATACAGCCAAACCATATCACCTACCTTACTCATTAGTCTCTTGGTTCAATACTGAATCCCCAGTACCTTGAATATTAGCACGTACAGGTCACTCAAAACTGTGTGTTCGGTGAATGAATAAATTGCACAAAAATTCCCACAGCATTTATTGTCCAAAGAGGCAGAGAATGATTGGCAGTAATTTATTATTATCCTATTTATTTATATTTTTATTTGTTAAATCAGTCCTTTGTTAAGGCGATTTTTCTAATTTGATTAAAAAATTTATAGCCTATGTGTGATGTGAGGAGAGACATAAAAGACTGGGTGTGTCCTATGAAGCCTCTCAGAGCTCATAGTCTAGAAGGAGAGATAATCAATGAGGCAATATTGAAAGCATCACTTAGGTCTCAGGGTACTCTGGGGCCACACAGAAACATGCCTTCCCAGACAGGCACAGCTTCCAAGAGGATATTTGGGAAGAAAACTATGGCAAACAATGAAAACCAAGGGAAGGGTCAGCTGTAGGGAGGAGAATGCTTCCTTCCTGTTTGGGAATGGGTACAGAATGGATCAGAGGGGTGAGCAAAAGTTGGGGGGATTAGTTAGGCAACTGGTGCAATAAATCAGGAGAAATGGATGAAGACCTAAGATCAGGCAGTATGTGGAAATTGTAAGAAGGGATGGATAAAATGTGAAGGAAATAGGGTTGAGGGCATTTGTGGGGTGATGGAAACTAGGAGCAGAGGAGAGACTAAAAAGGAGCATTTGCAGTAGTGAGAAAACCAGGCAAAGAGGAGTTGAGGAGTTAGGAAACTAAACCAGCGTACTAAACAGAAGGAGTGGTCCGAAGTGTCAAACGCTGTTGATTGTGGCAGAATAAACAGCAGTGGTGAAATGAAGACAGGAGGTAGGTTATAGGTGAGAGAGGAGTGAAGTGCTAATGTCTCTTTCTGTAATAGATGCTCTACCTAGAAAAAAAAAAAGAGAGAGAGAGAGAGGTGGGATGGTAGCTAGAGGGAGATGTAGGACCAAGCTAAAACTTCTAAAATGGAAGGAAATTTTCAGTTGTGTAGGCGAGAGGAAGGATCCAGTGAAAAGGGAGAAAAAAGAGGAATTGGGATATGTGTTTTACCCTTTTGCTATGGATTCCACCTTTAAACACTTTTGTTATCATCTTCAATGACTTCCTTCTGACGCATTGTTAGACTCTCCTGCTGAAGCAAGTGCTCAATCATACTGCAAGCCTCAGACAGCATCTAATCAAACCTGATCATTCCCACTTAGCTGGCTTCTGATAGTTGGGTTACTTTATCTCTTGGCTCAGAGATTCCTAATTTGCTGTTCACAGATCCTCATGGGGTCCACATATAAAATTGTACCTTACCATAATTCATTTCATAATCTATGTATTGTTTCATGCTTTTGAAAGGATATATTGGCTTCCCCAGTCTGCCAAAGAAGTCCATGACACAAAGATACCCCCAAACCCTTCATCGATATACTCTAAGTTACAGCTATGACAAGCTCTGTATTTAGAAACTAACAACTTTCTCCTGTTTCCTGTGGATCACCCACTTACCTTCTCTGTTCCAGATCAATGAATCAGGGAAATTAATAGACTGGAAATGTCTTCTACCAATTATTCCCAAAGATACGTAATAATCACCTCGAGAAATAGACAAAAGAATAGATTCCAAAATCCCATATTACAAAATCCCATTCTGAAAAACCCTGAATTTAGTACATTTAAAAAGGAAACCAAGAATCTGCCTTTTTAAAACAAGCTCCTTGGCTAATTTTAATGCAGATAGCCTTTGGACAACACAAAGAAACATATCACTTATCTTTCCCTGGCTTTTTTTAAAATGTGTCCTAAATATGATTAATTCTATTGAACATGTTCAGTTACTTTGAGAAATATCAAATCCTCAAACTTAAATCTTTTCCAAGTTTCCCCAAAGAAATGCCGCCATCTCTAATCTTTACTCACGTGAACAAACCAATCTCTGTTGGTATTTGTTTAAACATTTTGAGAGGCTCATCACATCACAGAGAATGACATACAAATCACAGCACATAGGGAAATGGCTGTGTGTATGGAACTTTTCAGAATGGAGGGAAAAGGGAACAATATTCTTAGAGAGGTACAGTTTTAAATTTTTGGAAATCGCAAAGCTTATAAATATAAGAAATGAGTTTAAGGGAAGATAAAATGTAATAGGTGGTGATGCGGCCAGGAAAAACAAAAAGCCTAAATAATACAATTAACATTTTTTTTTTTCCTGTGAAGCAGCCACAAAGTAAACCAGGAATTTCCTCTAATACCAAACCATCAGATGGGTTTTCCTGGGAGTTACTTCCCACACCTGAACAAAATTTCAGCTGATCCCAAGTGACACAGTGTGTAACGATATCCCGCTATGAGGAGGGCCCATGATTGCAGGACTCTTGGCAGTACTAGTGTGAGTTGAAACAATGAATGAATTTGCCAGATCTGATCAACAGTTTCAAGGAAGAGTGGACTCACTAATCTTTGAGATCTGGGAAAACCTTGAGTGGGGCCTTCGTGTTCCTATCTTTCTGAGTTGAAGAAGGAACTCATCCTTCATCTCCAAGTCAATGGTACCAGTGGCTTCTATTCCCAGGTATGTCAAATTCCTGCCAACAAAGCTAAACAGAACATTTCAGCACCTTGACCCTTACTGAGGAATTTTTAAACCAGGGTTAGAAGTGGAGCTAATCTGGACAGAGGAGAAGGTAAAAGACATAAAATCTGTCTCCAGTGTCTGCACTTCAATTAAAACCCATATTTGAATCATGAAGTAAGTTGGGTCTACGACTTCTCAATAATAATGGGTTTCAATAAACTTGCAGAGACATTCCAGAGGCTCTGTCAATATATCAATCAATCTATAACTCTTTTGGCCCCCAAACAATGTTTATCTATTTAACTGTGATTACCAGATGTTTTGGTTGATCTACTAGGTGCTTGACAGCAGCTTTTTTATTTATAGAAAAAAAATCAACAAGAGTGTGGAATATTATTCTCCACATTCAACAAAACCATTTTGCTGTAATGACAGCCACTAATGGACAGCAGCCATCAGTTAAATAACATCAGCCAATGATGGCAAGATAATATGGGGTACAGTTTTCATGTGAGTCTCCAATTTAATAGGGGTTAAAAATAATCTTCAAGGTCATCATATTGGTAGCACTTTTTTCTTATCAGACACTGGGAGTAATAATTTATGAAGCATTTTTGAGTTCACTTGCACATCTGCTCCTTTGGACCAGGGAAAGCTCTATGAGAAACACATTCTCCCCATGTTCTTATAGCACAACAGGGTTCATATTTTATTGATGGGTTTCTTAAAATAATGGTAATAAAAATATAATTTTAGGCTTTTCCAGAAGACACCTGATTACTATCCAGTAGCCACTTGCTCATCCTTTTCTCTTGCCTGCAGAGTCCTCCCCTTATTATAGATATGGAAAATGCCAGATAATTTTTTCTCAAGTCATCCTTGCAAATAAGTTCAGGTCATGTGACCATAACCCAGCCAATGAGTACTGAGGGAGAAGTCTTCACAGAAAATCCCTATAGAAAGATTTTATTTTCTAGTAAGAACCTGATGTTTGAGAAGTGATTCCTTACCTCTCTGTCTGCTGGCTGTACAGCCAGTTGTGTGAGAATATGTGCTCATAATTGTGGCAGCCACCTTGTGACTATGAGAGGCAAACCAAGAGATGGACAGTGAAGTGTCCCAACGTGGTTGATCTGCTCAAGTAACCAACTCTGAAAACACCTGTGTCTGGGCAGCTTATTAAATGCAGTTGGATATCTGTTCTTTGCAGTCAAAGTCTTCCTAACAATGCTTTACTAATTCATTTTAAGAATGTTTACTGAGTATTCACTAAAGGCTAGCCACTGTGACAGGCACCGGGCTATCATGGTGAGCACAACAGACATTATTTCTGTACTCTAGGGATTCTCACCTAGGGGACAGACAGAAGTTGATTAGAGGCTATCTAATGTCATATTTAGCTTCATTGCGTTGGGAGTTTGTGGTTAGAGAAGGCTTCCCTGAGGAAGTGATGCTTGAGCTGCTGTCTGAAGAATACATGGAAACTAATCAGATGAAGAGGGATGTTCTCACTGTGCCTTTGTGAATTAATCAATCAAACTATCTCCTGAAATCAATCAAATTATCTCCTGAAAGCCAATGAAGTCAACAAATAGAATCACAGGAGAAAGAAAAGTCACCCCCAGTTGTCAACTATTCAGCCAACTGTCTCCCAAGTTAGTGATACATCAAGTGTTGATGAGGAAGGATTTTTGCAGACTGACAGCCCAATCCTTCTTCCCGTGGGCCCATGTGGACACCTTATTGTGATCGTTCTTATACATACAAAACGTCGTAGTTTTTATGGTAGCTGAGGTCATGGAGATCAGTTTTCATTTGCTTATTGTACTTGTTATAAATGGTCTAATAAATTATCTCTTTTTGCTAAGAATTTCCATAATTGGTTTCAGCCTGAGGGCACGTTTTTTGTTTTTAAACATTCAGCCATTTTGATTTATGTGAATGTGAAAAATCTACATTTTTTTTCTGTGTTTAATCCAATCTACAGAATATTATTTAGCGCAAGGAAATCTCCAAAATAGCTGAAGCTTTTCACTTATTTAGATTTCACCAAAGAGTCCCCAGGGTAGAACGAAAACATCTCCAAGCTAGGGTAATTTTACAAAAACTGCTTAGAGTTCAACAGCTATTTCTGTACTTTCAGAATTCTGTAAACATATGGGGGAAAATCTGTCCACAGTTATGCCGGAGCAGTGCCCGAGCCCTGAATTCCCCTATCGTTTCATTGTTGGGAAGGGCTAGAGCCCTGATTCAATGTCTGTGTTGCAAAGGCCCTGGAGCTTTTTCACCTTTCTATTTTTGCCCTGTTAGACAAGGTCTTCCGTCTTTTCTTCCTTGAAAAATCTGCTTATTTCCTCTTCCTTCCTGCGTCCTTCCCTCATTTCTTTCCTTTCTTCCTTCCTCCCACTTCCCTCCCTCCCTCTCTCTCTCCCTTCCTTCCTTCCTTCCTTCCTTCCTTCTTTCCTTTATTTCTTTCTTCCTTCCTCTTTTTTTCCTACCTTATCTCGTTTCCAGATATCTGCCTAATTTCTCCTAGTTCTGGTGCTACATCCTCCTCTAACTTAGAATCACGCTTAAGTGCTATAGGCCAAGTATGTTGTGTGTTAGGGAGGAACAGAGTACTTTCTATTTGCATCAAAAGGGATTTTCATGTTTAATGGCAGGAAGGATTTTGGTTTGTGGGTGAGGAGAGGGGGTGCTGAGAGGGAAGTCTGTCTTGATTCTAAAAACGGAGAATATTTCTAAAGTAAAATATCCCTTCTCATGTATGCCAGGGTCCTGGGCAATGACAGCTCCAAAATATCAGCCACTTTCCCCTTTTTGACTGGGGCATGTCCTGGGACACTTCAGTGTGACCTCACATTTAGACACTCAGTGTCCAAAGGAGTTAATAAATAAGGCTTTGACATTTTCTCTAAATGTGATTGTGCGTACATGCATACTGTTATAGAGGTTAATGATGAATCCAAAGATGTCTATTTTACAACTTAAAACTTGTGTCCTTTTAACTGAACCATTCAATTTCCAATAAACCATGAAATAATACTATTTATAAATACATGTACTAATCTTATAAATATCACAATTTTCTATTGCATTGTATTATTAAAAGTGTTAGCAAGTTTAAGATAAATATTTAAAACAATTAGTAATTTTTTAAATAAAATGATAACCTTTATTTTTCAATATTATAGGAACTTAAAAGAATGATGTATTTTAGGCTTTTCTTGACTTCTGGGACAACGCAATCTTGTCTGTTTCACTCAGGGAAGTATTCTTTCGGTATTGTGATGATAGGATTCCTAATCTGAAATCTAAACAATTTCTCCTAGAAGGTAATGAGGTTTTACACAAACCTTATTAAGTCAGTCCTTTGCTAATTGAATGTTTAAAATCTGGGGCCTACTGGGTATAACATTTATTGAGACAAAGTAATTAACATTTTCTTTCTTGATGCATTTCTTTCAATATTATGCTTAAAACCTCAACACATAGTAGAATGCTTAGCATATAATAGGAGTTCATAATAGCTATTAAAAACAAAGTATTAAGTAAGAGAAATGTGTTCTAGAACTGGCAGTCTTCTTGAACCAAGAAAGGCTCAAGGGAAACAAAAGGAATCTCAACTATGTACCTCAGATTTCTGAGTCCAGAAGTTCATTTTCAGTGGCAGTACAAATGTGGGACATTTTTGGTTAAAATACGTATTTTACTGTATAGGTCCACTGTGATTTTAAATGCCCTTATGTTGCTTAACAGACATTACTTATATCTACTTTACAATGTGCACTGGGCTTCACAGCATTAAAGGTGGAATTGTTTTAAAAAGTAGCCTTTTAGTAAGTCAGATACATTATCGATATGCTTCCAAATACTTGGTCTAGGAGGAAAATAAGGGGAAAACATAGTGAGGATATATTGAAAAATATTTTTTTTCTCAGAAGAAAGGAGATACAGTTTACATAAATTTGAGAATTCGGCATTGCTTAATTCTCCCTAATGTCTACGAGAACTTCTGCTTTAAAACCAGCCCCAAGAACACATTGGTCAGCCAGCTCTTGTGCTGAATCCCAGAATATTAAGAACCAATTTAAATGCTTATTAAAATTATTATTCTTGTCTTACTTTTATATGTCTATTTTTCTCTATTCATAGATAGTCATCTCTATCTCAGTTACCTATCTAAATAAACATATACATGAAACCAAGCATAATAATGCCATACATAGAAATCTAAAACAAAGAGAAATTTTAAAACGATTATTTATATGAGAAAGAGTTCACTCGGATATTGTTGCATTCTTTCGTGGTTGCTAAGTGCGTTTATTCCAGAAGGGTCTCCTATGCAGCAGGCCCTGAGGTAGGAGTAATAAGAATAATAAATACAGTTGAGGCAGAGATGTCGGGGTGATGCTCAGAGGAAGCCGATGTTGAACCAGGTACATTATAGAAATAAAATATCTAAAAAGGAGGAGAGAAAAACATTTTTAGTTTCAGCAAAATTGATGTAATTGTGAAAGAACACATTTTCCAAGAACACTGAGGACTGTGGGTGACTTGAATAGAGGATGGTTTTAATGGAGAATGTGAAAGAAGATGCTTTCAAATTAAATTCACACCAGATTTTGAAGGACCTGTGACCTGTGGTAAGGAATTTTGTAGTTTAACTTTTATTTTTTATTTTATTTTATTTTTTGCTTATTTTTGAGATGGAGTCTCCCAGGCTGGAGTGCAGTGATGTGATCTCAACTCACTTCCACCTCCACCTCCGAGGTTTAAGCAATTCTCATGCCTCAGCCTCCTGAGTAGCTGGGATTACAGATGTGTGCCACTGCACCCAGCTAATTTTTTTTTTTTCTAGTTTTAGTAGAGATGGGGTTCTACCATGTTGGCCAGGCTGGTCTCGAACTCCTGGCCTGAAGTGATCCGCCTGCCTCGGCCTCCCAAAGTGCTAGGATTACAGACATGAGCCACTGTGCCCAGCCTAAATTTAACTTTTAGACTATTTCCATCATAAGCTTCATTAGTGGCTACCTTTTCACTGTTGAGTCCACAGTGATTATTCCAGGGCATTGCATGTTATAGATGCTTAATAAATGGTTGTTGATTGTATTGACAGATAGGTATTTTTAGAAAGAGGAGCAACAGGATCATATCTGTGTATTTAGTTAGTCAAGAAGAGAAAAATTCAGACAGCATATATGTAATGGGAAGGAGCAGTCCTCAAGCAATAAAGGTGGGAGGCGGGAGATAAATACCTCAGCTTCCCCACCCTTGTCAGCAGGAGTGAGCCCCAGATGCCCATGGTGGTAACATACAGTAGTCCCCTTATCCACAGTTTTGCTTTCTGTGGTTTCACTTACCCAGTCAACCAAGAGCTGAAAGTAGGTGAGTACAGTACAATAAAATTCTTTGAGGGATTACAGTCTCATGACTTTTGTGGTATATTGTTATAATTGTTCTATTTTATTATTGGTTATTGTTGTTAATCTCTTACTGTGCCTAATTCATAAACCAAACTTTATCATAGGTATAACGTGTATAGAAGGAAACGGTGTATATAGGGTTCAGTACCATCCACGGTTTCAGGCGTCCATAGGGGAGACTTGAAATGTATCCATCAGGGATAAGGAGGAAGTACTGTATTTACCAACATGTCCTGTATTGGTTTCCTTTCTTTTCTGTTTAATTTCCTTACTTCCCCAGGAATGCTTCCTGGGTTTACCTTACAAATAGACTTCCCAAACTTGCAATATTATATCTCAAGTTCTGCTTCTGGGAGAACCCCATTCAAGACAGAGTCACATGGTCCTTATAACGGTCTACACAGAGATTATTAGGGCCTCATCTAAAACAGTGACCATGAAAAAAGTGGAAGGCAAAATTCTAAGATATTGCCCCAAATCCACATCCCCTGATGTCCACACATCTTCTCCAAGCTATTCAATCAAGCATTAATCTCAGTGCTTCTGTGAAGGGATATTGCAGAAATAATTGAGGTCACGAATCAATTGACTTTAAGCAAGGGAATTATCACGAATGTGTCTGAACTAATCCCATGAATCCTCAAAAGTGATAGGCATCTTCCTGATGAGACAGATTCAAGGCATAAGAGGGATTTGATGGGAGGGAGATTCTCCATTGTAGCTTTGAAGATGGAGGTGCCATGTGGCATGGATGGTGGGTCTCTAGGAGTTCAGTGTAGCCCACAGCTGATTCCAGCAAGGAAATGGGATCTCAGTTACACAGCAGCACTGGATCCTTCAATGGCCTGAAAGAGCACACAAGCAGAAACTCCTTCAGAGCCTTCAATGAGTATGACTCTGAGCAGAGGACTCAGCCAAACCATGCCCAGGCTTCTTACCAAGGGAAATGGTGAGCTAACAAATTATCTTAAGCTGCTATTTTTTTTTGGTTATTTGCTATGCAACCATGGAAACTTAATACCCCCAAAAATGGTGTTAGGTTTAGGATAGAGGTAGAAGTCAAGCCTTACAATTGCTAGAATTTGGTGGCTGATTGTGTCAAATGATTGAAAAGAAAAGAGGAATAATCTTAAGGTTCTAGTCTGAGTTCATAATTATGCCATTAATGAAATAGAAAATGTGTAAAGAGATTTTTTTTTCAGGTAAGAAGTGTTTTGTTGTTGCTGTTTTAGTTTGTTACTTTTGAGATGAAGCTGTCTAGTAAGCAACTAAAAATACAATCCAAAGCTCAGGAACAATTCTGGGTCTGAAGAACAAACATTTGGAAGTCATTGGCATATGTTTAATGTTGAAATCATGGAGGATCGCCATACAATGTGGCACATATACACCATGGAATACTATACAGCCATAAAAAAGGATGAGTTCATGTCTTTTGCAGGGACATGGATGAAGCTGGAAACCATTATTCTCAGCAAACTAACACAAGAACAGAAGCCAAATATCGTGCGTTCTCACTCATAAGTGGGAGTTGAACAATGAGAACACATGGACACAGGGAGGGGAACATCACACACTGGGGCCTGTTGGGGGGTGGGGGGCTAGAGGAAGGATAGCATTAGGAGAAATAACGTAGATGATGGGTTGATGGGTGCAGCAAACCACCATGGCACGTGTATACCTATGTAACAAACCTCCATATTCTGCACATGTACCCCAGAACTTAAAGTATAATAATAATAATAATAATAATAAACCATGGGGGAGGGTATCTGAGTATTTTGTGTAGATGTGTTCTTCACTGCTTAGTCCTTCTAAATTTTGGTAATAGGGCTTTCTTGACTGAGGAGAAATACAGAGTACTTATAAAAATGGGAATTTATTAGATAATGTGTTATCTTAAGATTGTATTCCATCTAATTTACAATAAAGTAATTTTTAATGTTCTGGCTTGTGAAGTAGGGTATGGATAGCAAATACATGGCACTAAAGCCACCATTCCCCAATTCTGAGCCTATGGCATTACTAATCAATTCAGTAATTTTCCCTTCAGAACCAGTATTCTTTCCAACCATGCTCTGGGCAGCAACGAATTGATTATAGTTCACACTCATTTGCAATCATGGGTTAGTTTCAAAACCATATCCATTTAATAACAGATACGTTGAGTTGCTACTTGAGGGTGGAGGGTGAGAGGAGGATGAGGATCAAAAATGATTGCTTATTGTCTGTGTAATGGAATAAACTGTACACCAAACCCCTGCAACGTGCAATTTACCTATGTAACACACCTGAAACTAAAAGTTAAAAAAAATCTAAAATACATTTTATTTTGATTTTTCTTTAAAAATGATGTTTTCTTATCTTTTACATATTGTTGAATGATATTAGATAGCCTCCTGAGGAATTTGTTAAGATGGCAAGAAGTGGTTCCTACAGGTGGTTTGGATATGAAACATTGCAAAGCTAAGTTGAAATAGCATGAAAAAAGTATAAATAGGAATTTCCTTTGATCCTTCTAATAAGGCTGAATGGTGTTGTGTCCACAGTTATTAAGTTCAAATATTATAATTTTTGATTCCTATACTGGAAGATAGGGGCAGTTCTTGCAGTTCCAAGAATGACGTTTTTATAACTCAGCTTTATGCTGAGAGCCAACGTAATGCACAGGGATTGATCTCTTTCCAACCAAAAATGGGTAAGATTTGCACAAAGTCATGCATATCAATCATCCAATTGTTGTCTCATCCTGCCATCATCTTGAGAGACACTGAAAACTCTAGAACCACTGCCTGAGACACAATTTGTATGACCCAACCTAAGAAAAAAAAAGCTTAGGCAGCTCCATTTCTGGATCACAGGGTGTTAACATATTAGTCAACCCATAAAAGCTCCCACTGATTTATATGGAGTTGTAGCGTTGCGTCACAGGTGGAGGGGCCTAAATTGTTTTTGGAGAAATATAGGGCTCTGTCTTCAGGATCATGACCCGTGAGTCACACCCAGGGCTCCCAAAGCCGAGGCCAGTGGGGACGTGGAAGAACTTGGCTTAGCCACAGGGATGTGACTCACTAAAAAAGATGAACTGGTTTTGAAAAGTAACAAGAACCACCTTCTATTCTCTACATACCTGCTTTCATTCCATAACTTAAAAAAAAAAGCAAACTAGGAGTTTTATAAGTTTTTATCAGATATGTAAACATATTATTATTTACTTTTAGAATCTTGGTCAATTTTGCTGTTATAGAAGTGGTGGCCATAGCTATCTTTTGAATAACAGGTTGACAAAATGATAATTGCATTACTTGAAGATAATCACTTGCCAAATTTATACAATAAGTTGACAAAGTTGTGACAAATTCATAGGATGCGATATCCAGATTCAACTTTCTAGTCATTTAAGGGACTCTAATTAGTAATTTATGAAGGCTCATTAGCAGGAAGTTCAAGGTAATTGTTAACTTACTGCTGTCCATGCAGTGACAGGTGATCTGAAAGCGGAGTGACATGACAAATGTGGACAGTGTCACATCATATCCTTATGTGGCAGGGAAAGCTTTCATTTCCCGAATAGGTGAGGCATATGTGTTTTGGGCTAAAACTATGATTCCAGGCCACCAGAATTCTTATTTCATCATTTTCAAAAATTAAGTTGGGTCAGGTGTGATGGCTCATGCCTGTAATCCCAACACTTTGTGAGGCCAAGATGGGAGGATCACTTAAGACTAGGAGTTTGAGACCAGCCTGGACAACATAGCAAGACCTCATCTCTACTAAAAATAAAAAATCTGAGCTGGGCATGGTGGTGTGCGCCTGTAGTCCCAGCAGTTTCAGAGGCTGAGGCAGGAGAGTCACTTGAGTCCAGGAGTTTGACTCTGTGGTGAGCTACAGTCCTGCCACTGCTCTCCAGCCCAGGCAACAGAGTGAGACACTATCTCAAAAAAATTAAGTTGAAAACAATTTTAACATTTTAATATGTGAGCATCCCTTTCTATGACTGCTGAATTTTATTCTAAGAATAGATAAAAAGTTAATTTCAAGTATCGAAAACTTGCCACTTTCTTTTTTCATGTTTGGATTACAGGCCTAGAAACTTCAAAATGTGGAAAACATAAGAAAAAAAAAAAACTAGACTACTGGGAAAATGAGAATGAATGGAGATGTATCTGACGTTTTGGGAGCAGGCTAGATTCAGATCTTCTCTCCCTGTAGCTAAATTGGGTGGGCAGCTGGCCTCAAGAACAGTCCACCCACAACCTCCAACTCCTGGCACGAACCTGCTTGAGCTTGGAAGACATTGTCGGCCCTAGATCCCACCCTGACTCCTGCATGTTCTGGACACCTCCATCACCACTGAGCAGGGAAGCATGTTCTTCCTTTCTCATTCATTTGCTTCCAAAAGAGGAGCTCTGATTTTCTTCTCTCTTGCAGTGCTTTTTCCTCTATATAGCTCTTAACCTCCTCTCATTCTCTTCATTCCCACCTGAAAGGTGCTAGTTCATGTGTCACCACCATCTTGCCTGAATGCCTGTTCCGGTGATCTTCTTGCTTCTACCATTTGCCACTATAAGTCGTTCTACTCCCAGAAGCCAGTAGCATAGTTTCAGAAGGCTAACATAATAGTGTCTTTTCCTTGTGGGAAACCATCAGTGGTTTTTCACTCCCTTAAGCACAGCCAACAACGCCTTCAATGACCTGCTCCTTCAGCCACACTGGCCTTCAGACATGTCCCCAAAAGCACTCAGTTAGTTCTCACCCTGGGGCCTTTGCACATGCCACTTTCTGTCCAAGCTTGCAGACCAATATATGCTTTGGCACCAGCTCTCACAGAGCCTGCAGCACTTATGGCAAGGTGCATATGTTGTTTCCTGTCTGCCTTCCCAGTTAGACTTGAGGAGTGCTGTGAGGATGGGTATAGAAGAAACATCTGTTTTCCCAGGGCCCAGTCCAGAGCCCACCCCATAGTGGATGCTCAATAAGTACTTGCCAAGTGCTTCCTAGAAATATGTTAACTGTTTCTTTCTGATTATTAGATTTTCTTATTTGATCTTTTCTGGCAAAGTGGTTGCTTCTGTATTTTCTTAGAATTCCATTTGTGTCATAAGTGATCTCTTCCCTACTTCATAGCCTTTATACGTGCTGGATCTCTCAGGACCAACAATGCTGTAGCTCTTCAGGCTAAGCAGTGAAGATGAGTTTCAGGGATTGTGAGTGTTTTCCCAGACCTTCTACAGACATTTGCATATGCATAGGCAAGTGCCTTTTGGGCCCTCAATAAATATTTGTTGAGGGAAGGACAGGTGGATTGATAAATGGATGGGTGGACGGATGAATGGTTGGGTGGATGAATGGTTGGATGGATGGATGGATGGATGGATGGATGGATGGATGGAAGACAAATATACTGATGGATGGTGTGCTGAAGATGTTGACAACTTCTTTAGTCTGTTTATCTCTAAACTCCTTTCCCCTCTGTGAATAACTTGTCAGATCCCTTTTTTGCTAGAGACACTGTCAAGGAAAGCATTTCCTAATGCTTGTAACACTGCTAAAGCAAGAAGAATATTGGCAGAAACTTCTATTTTCAATGCAGTTTTTAGGAAGGTTAATTACTTTGTGTTTCTGAAGATGTAAATGTTCCTCAAGGAAGAAATCTCTGAATAAAACTCAATGACAAGATCTTTATAATGGACTTCTGGTTATTGCTATGTGCAATGCCCTACCTATAACTCGCATTTTAATTGATGTATCCTGAGCAAGATTTGAAACAGATCTCTTTCCCTCTCTTCTAATTTTAATGAGTCTTCTCTAGCAAGCACCTATATCACCAGAGAGATGCAGAGAACCTCAGCATACTCTGGATGGGCCTCCCTCTGCAATTTATGATGAAGTCTGACTTCAGAGTGAGTTCGCAGCCTCCTTCCTGCCTCTCCTCTGGTTTCCAGGGTAGCAGACTCTTGTCTCCCTTCAGACCTGGGCTCTCCCAGCTCAGTCCCACTTGGCATTTCTAACTGAGGTTATGGATACACATTGAGCCCAGAACTCATTGCTTTTTTGGAAAAGGCAAAATAAGAGAGGGGATTTTCCATATTCACATTTTTCCACAGAAATGTATTCATAAGCTTTAAACTTGCCCAAGCTCTGTTAATGTATGTGGTTGGCTCCTGTGCCAATTTTCATTGTGAATAAGATGCTAAATAAAAGGGTTCTTGTCTTTCCCCTTTCTCCTCCCCTCCCATAATTTCAACTTCATAAACCTATTTTGTAAGTGAATTAGGTCTTAGGAGAGAATCAGAAACGATGTTGTTCTTTTAGCCGCTTACAGTGTTTGCTTTAAACCCTTGATAGGAACGTGGGCTTGTGACAGCAGCGGCAGAGGTAAACAGATGACTTTATATATAATGCTTTTTACAAGGTGGTTCAGTTCGTTTCTAACCTTGGTCTCGGCGTCATGGAATGAGCCAGGGAAATTCCTCCCCTTAACCCTACCCTGCACGTCCTCCCTTCAAGGGCAAGAAAATGTCCATTTTGCCTTTGGTTTCACAGCTCTTTCTCCACAGTAGAGCTTGCATAATGCTATACCCCCCAATCCCAGGGAACCCCGGTAGTGTCACCAGGTATTTTTATTATTATCATTATTATTTTCATCAGGTGACTGTGAATGTTCACAATAAAAGTTGCAATTTTTATGAGCCATGAGCTGGCGTGTCCTGGCATGTCCTGGTTGTCAAGTTTCTGTGCATTTTGGTTCAAATGTTCCCTGCCTGTGTTTATTCCTGGTCAGACCACACCTCCTGGGACTGTCTTTGTGGCTTTTGCTCAGCTGCTGACTCAAGTTGCAGAAGACATGGGGAATAGTAGAGCAAGGTCTGCAAGATTCTGGCCTGAAGGAAAAGGCTCCATAGCTCTGCTTTTGAGCCATGGAAGCTGCCTGCCCCTCCCTTTTCCTGGAAGGTCCCATGACTAGTTTCCTAATACCAACTAGTCAAGAATATGTAGGGCTAAAGGGACATTAATATTAACATAAGTGATACAGTGAGGACCAGAAGCCTTGGATGTAAGGGAGAACACGTGAGCTTTCCGTCAGAGAAGACTAGGTTCAAATACCAGTCCTCCAAGGAAAGCCAGCTCCTTGCTGGGGACCTTGGGCTAGTGCTTAGTATCTGATTTCTTCATCTGGAAAATAGCTATAATAATGGAACCCATCTTAGAGGGTTGGTTAACATTATATGAAAAAATGAAAGTTCAATGCACAGTCTGTGATCTGATATAGGTCAGGATGCAATATTGTTAATACTATTAGCTACTATAAATATTATTGGTAAGTAATAATTTCCTATAATTAATATAATAAACAATATTGTATCAAAATTATCTAAATCATTAATACTGATAAGCAATAATTATTTACTGGTAATTATAGATATTAATATTACACATTGATTGATCTTGCAGAACCTCTTTTTCTTCATCTAGAAAGCAGAGATTAACATGGACATTGAAAAAAACCTCTGACTCTCTAGGGATTTTGTGAAGATGAATAAATGACTTTGAACAGTGCCTGGCCCTTTGCACAGTGCCTAGCCCTTCAGCCTGTAACAAGTGTTGCTGTTTTTAACGAGAGGTTAGTTGTCCTTCTCAGGCCCTCTGTAAAAGAATGTATTACTTTGCTTTTCAGCCAGTGTGACTGTCTCATTCCAGCACTTCTATTGCTGTCTATAAAAGATGACTGTGGCCAGGCACGGTGGCTCATGCCTGTAATCCCAGCACTTTGGGAGTCCAAGGCAGGAGGATCACTGAGGTCAGAAGTTCAAAACCAGACTGGCCAACATGGTGAAACCCCATCTGTACTAAAAATACAGAAAAATTAGCCAGGTGTGGTGGTAGGCACCAGTAATCCCAGCTACTGGGGAGGCTGAGACAGGAGAATCACTGAAACCCCAGAGGCGGAGGTTGCAGCGAACTGAGATTTTGCCACTGTACTCCAGCCTGGGTGGCATTGTGAGACTCCATCTCAAAAGAAAGAAAGAAAGAAAGAGAGAGAGAGGGAGGGAGGGAGGGAGGGAGGGAGGGAGGAAGGAAGGAAGGAAGGAAGGAAGGAAGGAAGGAAGGAAGTAAAGAAAAAAAGATGACTGCAAAGTGACTTTAGAGGCAGGTCATGGGCCTGGTGACACCCAGCCATGAGGCTGGATGGGGGGCCCAGTCTCCTGGAGAAGATGATCCCTCGGCCTTGTATATCTCAATCCAGGCCCAAGGTCATGGATTCTTCCTGGCAGGCTAGGCTGATGGACTTGGTTTATGAGCTGCAGTCTGTGCCTAAAGACACCTAGGAGGAAGAGCTTAGCTGCTGAATGTACCTGGGGGACCTTCCCCACCTATGTTGTCTGCCTCAGTTGCCTCTTCCTTGGGAAGAGGTGCAGACAGAAGGTGGCAGACTCTGGGATAGATCCAGTAGAGCTGTAAAAAACAGGCTGGCTTGTGTCACAGCTTGCCTGTCCCTTTAAGCCAGGGCTTCTGGCAGACGGACCTTTGACAGTCTGGTGAAGCCTATGGATTCCTTCCTGAGGATAGTTTTAAATCCATAAGATAAAATATGTGGGGTTTCAAGGGAAACCAACTACATACCAATTTTTTTTTTTTTTTGGAATTATACTACAGTAATGGATGTATTTCTCTAATAGTCAATTAGAATGATATGAGGTAGGTGCTAAAAATATAATAATTTTGAAGTAGTAATGAGTGAAAATGGTACCATAGGGCATCCCTAGGATATACAAATATTTGATTTCTTTTAGGGGCAAAGTCATGCAGCCTGCTAATGCTTCTGTGATTTGTGGTCTGTGTACATATTGAAAAGAAGTGAAACATTTCAGTTGAAGGTTAGAACAAATAAGGTGGAATTTTCTCTCCTGTCCAGGTTCACAGACCACATAATAAGGAGTCCCCACTTTGCTCAGCTGGTCTCCTAAGTCTCTGTGCCATGAGAGGTCGTGGCCCCAACTTCTCTTTGTCTTGTCATCTCATTTGCGTCACAGCCTCTTGCGTGCTCTTTGACCTTTATGCAGTACCCCTGCACCCATGATCCAGGTCGCATCAGGCCTGTTTGTGCACTCTCAGAGTTTAACGGAAGAACCCATCTTTCATACTTCATTATTTAAAGAAGGCTAGACTGATTTTAAAAGCACAATGTACATGAAAATCACCTGAAGTATTTGATAAAATCCATATTTCTATACCAACACCCTCAATTTGAGTTGATGGGTCTGAGGAGAGGCCCTGGTTTCTATATTTTAAAGAACTCCCTAAATGCTTCTGAGGAAGGTGCTGCTTGAACAAGAAGGTGCCCTTCTGCTAAGAGACAAGCCTTTTCCAGCTTGAAAACTATTATTTTACCATTCTATATTCTGAGCAGGAAATGAATGGACAGACTGTATGTAGCGATGTGATATACAAACAGGGATGGCAGCTACAAGAATGTGGAAGTGTGGAAGGAAGAAAGAAAGGAAAAAAGGAAGGAGGGGGAGAGAAGCAGAAAGGAAGAGAAAAATAAGGGAGGAAGAAAGAAAAGGAAGGAAAGAAAGGAAGAAAAAAGAAGGGAGGAAGGAAGAAGAAGAGAAGCATGGAGATAGGGAAGAAAGAAGGAAGAAAGGCAAAAAGAAAGGGAAAAGATGTTCTAAGGGCTATTAAACCTATGGGAAAGGAAATTTTTATCAGCAGAATCCAGAGATAATATAAATCAGCAAGAAGAAGGATAGATTGATTTTGAAATTCAACAAATATTTATCATGTGCTTGCTACATTCTAGGGCAGGGGTTGAAATCTCAAACACACAGAGGAGCCAGGCAAGATGGTGCTGATATAAAAGATTCAGGGTTCTCTCGGTCCTCTATTTTTGCAATTTGAGGTAAACAGTTTGGCTGCATAAGAAAAACAACAGGCTGAATGTAAGAGTTCATGCTGTCAAACTTTGGTTCACAGCATCCGGCATGGCTACCTAGGGCCTTGCTTTGTGTACACATGAAATCTATCTTCCATATTCTCCAATTTTTCAAGACAATTTGACATTTTATAGAAATCTCTTTATGAATAGATATTGGAAGCTATTTTAGTACTATTTCTGCAAAACAAATTTACTTAAAATGTATCCACTTTAAAACAATCATTTTATTTTTCCCATGGATTATGTTGGTTGGAATTCAGGCAAAGTGGAGCTGTTTTTTTTTTTTTTTTTTTTTTTTTACTTCACCACGTCTGAAGCCTCAGATGGTCAGACTCAAAGGCTGGGGGAAGTGAGGGTAGCAACTAAACATCTAAGGGCTAGGATCACCTAGAGGCTCACTTACATGTCTAGTGCTTAGGCTGGGAAGACTCAATGATCAGGACTATTAACTGGAGCAACTTAATGTGGCTTTCCCATGTGGCTTGACATCATGGCGGGCTCAAGGTAGTGGGACTCATTCCACTGTGGCTCAGAGCATCAAGCACAAGTGTTCCTGCAAAGAAGGAGGGAGCTGCATGGCCTTTTATGATCCAGTCTTAGAAGTCATACAACATCACTTCAGTCATACTATATTGGTCAAAACCGTTCCAAGCCCAACCAGATTCAAAGACAGGAAAGATAGTCTCTACTTCTTGATGGGGAAGTGACAAGTTTACATTCTAGAAGAGCGTGAGAGCGAGAGATATTATTGCAGGCATCTTTGAAAAATAGAATTTGCTGTCATAACTAATTCAAAACTTTGTTTTATCCTGTAATCCCAGAACTTCAGGAGGCTGAGGCGGGTGTATCACTTGATGTCAGGAGTTCATGACAAGCCTGGCCAACATGATGAAACCCTGTCTGTACTAAAAATACAAAGGTTAGCCAGGCGTGATGGTGCGCGCCTGTAATCCCAGCTACTAGGAAGGCTGAGGCAGGAGAATCGCTTGAACCCAGGAGGTGGAGGTTGCAGTGAGCCCAGATTGTGCCACTGCACTCCAGCCTGGGCGACAGAGCAGCAAGACTTCATCTCAAAAAACAAGCAAACAGCAACAAAAAAAACCCTTATTTTAAAAATAAGTTAAACACAGTGTGTACAGCATAATGCATGTTTGTAGGCTAGCATAACAGAGGGTTGCACTAGTTTTTTACCTCTGTTACAGGGTATAAAAATTCGGAGATGATTAAGATTTGGCTCCTCTTCAGAGAACGCAGTCTTATATTTTGGAATTTTGGAATCTCTATGAATTACATATTTATACTTTTTGTACCCTTGCTGGAGTTGAGGAGAGTTGGATGAAAGTAGGGAGGGTACTGAGACTAGGAGGCAGCTATTTATTAGAATAACCTGGAAAATGGACCAATCCCCCCCATTCCCAGCCCCAAGAAGTTTACCTCTATCCAGAAGAGGAGCATTTGCATTTTTAATATTTTGAGAAGGTTCAGAAACCCGAGCTTCCTACTGCTTCCTATTGAGAAGCACTGTTCTAAACAGACTTCTACATTGCAATTGGTACTCACATATTTAGACATCAGTCTTACCGCTTAAATTCTTCATTTGCTTGTAAAAGCCATGTAGCTCTAAACTCAGAATAATCCATTGTCTACTGCCCTTCATCCCTCATGATCAAGTTTTTCTAAATATGTTTGGAAATTGACATGTGATTTAAAAATAACTTAAAGTATGTCTGATAGCCCAGATAAGGACATGTACTTTGTAGTGCCATTCATGGAAATAGTGACCTTGAAAAAAAATTCTGGAGGGCCTTCCTCTCATCTTCCTTTCTCCAGTTCCTATGGATATGGAAGGATAGGGCTAAGAATTGCTGTCTGCCTTCTGACTTAATAAGGAGACTTTTGCTCAAATAAACACTGAGTTCTTTTTTTTTTTTTTTTCCAAGCCATTCACCAACTCATATAATGTATCTTTGTGAGGTCTGTTCCTTCCATAGGATAATTCAGAAAGTTATACCTAGGCTGGGCACAGAGGCTCACACTGATGATCCCAGCACCTTCAGTGGCTGAGGTGGTTAGGATTGCTTGAGGCCAGGAGTTCAAGACCAGCGTGGGCTACACAACGAGCCTCCATCTCTATGAAAAAATTTGAAAACATAATTTTTTAAAAGGAAAGTTATACCTGGGCCAGGGATTCTGTACCGTTCATGATCTTGTATTCCAGGGTGTGTAATATTAGGAAGGTTTAGGTTTATTGTCTAAATGTTAATTGTGTAAATAAGGTGGTAACCATGGCAACCCAATCCCACCCCCCTCAGCATTGGCAGGTGGCCAGGGAGGTGTGATCACAACTTCTATCTGAGCTCACCTTTGCAGGTAATGGGGCAGGTATGTGGCATTAAAGAGCAGGAAGGCCAGCAAGGGTTGGTAATTGTTTAACTCTTCCAGTGGCACTCCTCTGAGTACATGGACCACACCTGCAAACCTGGCAGGACGTGCCGTGCATGACTGGACGGAGGCACTGATACACTCGGAGCCAAGGAATGGGTTTAGGCAGGAGCTCAGGGCTGAAATAGGGAGCCCAGCCTGCCGGGCTGCTTGAAATCTCAGGACTCATAATGCTTGTGCTTTAGGGAGACAACTGCTCATTAGCTGGATGAAATTAACCAGTCATGTCACCTTTTGACACCTCAATTTCCTCATTACTGAATAGTGAGGGATTTGAACATATTATCCCTAAGCTACCTTTTAGCTCTAACATAGACTGAGTATAGTCTATGTCAAGACTCTGACTAGAGTGTAGGTGTTTTCAGATTGGAAGAATTATCAGAATCACTTGGAGAACTCAACAAAACACAAACCACTGAGCTCCACCCCCACCCAGATTACTGATTCTAAAGATCTGAGGTGGGGCCTGAGAATCTGCATTTCTAACAAGTACCCAAATGTTGCTAAGCTGCTGATTTGGGGCCCATAGTTTGAGAACCACTGTTCTGGTCTGTTATTGCTTGGTTATGTTCTGGGGATTTTCCTGGGCCACCTCATGTAGCTGCAACATTCTATAAAGAGGGCTCCTTTGCTCAAGGAGTGAGGTTTTATTTCCTGAATTTTCCCAGCCCTTTGTTGTTAATTTTTCCACCAGACTGGGCATCTTTGGAACATCAGAGTTTGAAAAGAGAAAACAAAATGAGGCATAGCTCATTCGATTAGGCCAAGGGGCCATATTTTTACCAGCTTTATGTCTTATGACTTGCCTAGTACTGTTTCTTAGGAGGAGGAGGGAGAGTAATTAAACATTTTCTGGACTTAATATTCAACTTGCATTGCCTTAGTTAATACTATTTATAATCTGATTTGAAATATATTCAGCACAGACAGTGTGATATATACTTGGGATTCATTTTTATCTATACTCTAGGAGCTCATTGTATGCTGCTTCTAAAATAGCTCTTAATGATTTCCACCTCCTAGTATTCACACCCTTGTGTAATCCACTCCCTCTCCATGTGGGTTAACCCTGGTGACTTGTTTCCAAACTAATAGAATGTGACAAAGGTGATGGGATGTCACTTTTGAGATTAGAATATAAAACACTGTGACTTCCATCTTTCACTCTTTCTGCTGCTGGCCATTTCCTCTCTGGCTTTTCCTGAATGCTTGCTGTGATGATGAATTCAGAGAGGCCTGCATGGCAAGGAAGGGTGAGTGACTTCCTGCTAACTTCCAACAGGAACTGCAGTCCACACCCTTAAGACTGGGCTTGGAAGTCGATCCCTCCCCAGTCAAGCTTTCCAATGAGACCACAGAAAAGACCAACCCCTTGATCACAGTCTTCAAGGAGACCCTGAGGCAGAGGACCTAGTTAAGTCCTGTCAAGATTTCTGAAGCACAAACACTGAGTCAATGAATGTGTGTTGTTACAAGCTGCCAGGTTAAAGATAATTTTTAATGCAACGTGAGATAATTAACACAAATCTATTGACAAAGGATGTTTCTTAGGGACTAGGTAGTCAACATTTGGAAAACTCAAATCATAAGACCACACTTAATGGTAATGCAGAGCCAGATTGAACTGGTTTGTGAGGGGTGCTTGTACACAACTCTTTCTAACTCCGTATACAGAGATGGCATGTTAATATAGTAGCTTGAAGTAAGCATGATGGGAATACTTATGCAATGAAAACCAGCAAGCAATACAATTTTGAGATGCCTTTTACTAGCATAGCACTGTACTTTAAAAACCCTACTCTAAGCCCTAGCTCTCACTGTATCTTTGGTGAATAACAGAATCCTGGTATATTTGCATAATGGTGTGCAGAGAGTGGTGTTGCATTCATGAAGCCAGGGTTGTTAAAATCATGTGGATTGTGGGATAATATTACACAGGGCTGCTCCCTTGTGTGAACAGGGTGGGTGACCCCAAGAGTCTGCAAACTTCTGAATAGCATCTTTAGCCTAGGAATATGAAATAATCCCAACTCTGTTTATAGCAGGTCATCAATACCTGAATTGGGTGAAATTTTGGCATGGAAATATATATATTTTTAATCTGTCTCAAGTGTACCTTCTGGGAAAGGCTCTGTGGAAGCATCTAGCTAGACAGAGAATTAAGTAAGGAATTCCTGGCACTTGGTACCTCCTTGCAAATAAATATTTGTATTTGGGGAAATTTATCTCTGACAATTACTTTTATTGCTACATATTACCTGATGGGAAGGTTGGGGAGAAGAGACTTAGCTTACCTCTATTTGTTGAGAGCTACCAATATCAATAGAAAAGGAACTAGTAATTGCAAATGATCAAATCCACTGAGGTCAGTTTGTGGGATAAATCATTACAGTAACCATAAAATACAGATATGCTACAAGTCTTCATTTTACACTTGAAGAATTTGGAGTACAGGCATGGTGGTCATCTAACTGAGTTTAAGAAGCTTGTACATGACAAACAAAGTTAAAGGGCTCCAAATCAGCTCTGACCCCAAAATCATGTTTCTAATCTCTCTGCTAGAGGTCACTCCTCCCCCTTTTCACTGTTATAGCCTGAAAACCTTAGAGGGGAAATTCCAGGGAAGGAAACTTCACAGGCTCAAGTTTCACAGTCTTCCCTGACAGGAAATCCTAGCTAACCTTGAACTTCAGGGTCATCTGTTGTGGTTTAACACCATTTTTTCATTTCTAGTTAAAAGGGCAGCTCTGCTCACTGTCCCTTGCATGTCATGCCCTGAAAACATCTCAACTCCCTCTTGTTACTGCCTGAAAAATGGATTCCCCGAAATAATAAGTCCTCCAAATTCAGACATCAGCTTTCCTCAGTTAATTTCTGCATCATCATTTATAATATTGGAAGGTTCTTACTTTTAAGAAAATTTGGACCAATGCCCCAAATGGTCTTCCCATCTCAGAGCAACCAAAAAATGTGACTGTGGCTGCTGCCAGGACCCCTACATGCAAATGACCAGACTGTAGAGAGTTAAGTCTTGGGACCCACACATTTCTCCCAGGGGAAGTCATTATTTCAGGGCTTTTCACTGTGTTCATGAATTTCTTCTGTGATCTAGGCCTTGGGGAGAAAGAACATTCACCTAATTTCCTATAAAAGGCACTGTAGCATAGAAGTAAAGACAATCAGTGTTCACATCATAGTTTTGTCTTTTATGGCCCGTATAATCTTGGGAAAATTACTTAACGTCTCCGTGCTAATGTTTTCTTATCTGTGAAATGGAGGTGTGAGTACTGCCCATCTCATGAGTCATGAAAAGGATTAAATACATTAAGCTCTATGAAGCGCCTGGAGCAGTGCCCAGCATGCCAAAATACTCAGTTAATGTTACTTCTTACACATGGTGGGCCTGTTTATCACTGCTACTTCCTGGAAGTCCCCGTGCGTAATGGAAAGGATAGCTTTGTGCTGTCCTGCTTGTAGCCAACCAGTTTCTTAGTTCATTCAGCTTGCTTTTTGTACTCCAGGAGTGTATCAGTTAGCTCTTGCTATGTAACAAATTTCTCCAAATTTAGCAGCTTACAACAACAAACATTTATTATCTCCAGTTTTTGCAGGTCAGAAATTTCTGAGTAGCTTAGCTGGGAGGTTCTGGCTATGGGTCTTTCATGAGGTTGCAGTCAAGTGGTTGGCTTGGTTCAGTCAATTTCAGGCTCAACTGGAGGATGATCCATTTCCAAGCTCACCCACAAGGATGCTGTCAGGCCTCAGTTCCTCACCATGTGGGCCTCTACACAGACTGTCTAAATGTCCTCATGACATAACAGATGGCTTGCTCCAGGGACTAGAGAGAAAGAGAGAGATAGAGAGAGAAAAAAAATGTAAGCAAAAGACAAAATCTTTTATACTCTAATCTATAACTTATGCCATATTCTATTTGTTAGAAGCATGTCACTAAGTCCAACCCATACTGAAGGGGTAGGGAATTAGGCTCCACCTCTTGTGGGAACAAATATCAAAAACAAATGTGACATATTTTTAAAACCACAAGTGTCTTTTACAACCCATATATCTTAGAAATTTTAAAGTTTAAGTGCACTTTGGAGATCAACTAGCACAGCTGCCTCAGTTAAGAGATGAGAAGAATAACTCAAGAGACTTGCACAAGGTCACACAACTAACTGGCCCCAGGGACTGGATTCAGCTCTCTTACTGTTGTTATGTGCAGCTGTACCTCATTTTCAAGTCATGTCGATGGAGTCACTTCACTGATATGCTGTGGCACATCCTGAAGCCCTAGGCTACTGAGAGATTGAAACTTGTATATGATATCTTTAGACTTGCACTGTCTAGTATGGTAGTCAATAGCTACATGTGTTGTGAGTTACATGTGGTGTCAAATATACATCAGATTTCCAAGAGTTAGTATTGAAAATGTAAATTATCTTATTATTTCATATTGATTACATGTTGAAGTAGTATTATTTTGGATATATTGAGTTAAATAAAATATATTGTTAAAATTCATTTTCTCTATTTTTTTTTTTTTTTTGCTTATTTGTATTTCTGCTGTTGCTCTAGATTAACCAAACTGATCTCCACATTCTCCATGTCTTTGGTCTATCAGAGTCTTGCTTTTACTTCCATTTCTGTTTCCAGCCACGGTGACTGAGTCACAGCAACACAGGCTGCTCCAAGGCCTCTGTTCTCTGCTGACTCTGCAGAGTGGGTGCCTGTGATTTTACAGGTCTGCTCCTTCAGACCTTTCTGAACAACACTAATAACTAAGGGTGTCCTGTACAACTGCAACAATGGTTTCCAATGGTGTGTGCTCTGGTGAGCTCAAAACATTCCCTGAGGACTGAACTTCCACTCAAAAGCTGGGTCCCAACACTCTACTTCCTCTTTTTAAAGACCCTACCAGACTAAGTAACCCTAACTAGATCCATTACATACTGTTTATTTCCTTCCTTCCTTCCTTCCTTCCTTCCTTCCTTCCTTCCTTCCTTCCTTCTTTCCTCCTCCCTCCCTCCGTCCCTCCATCTCTTCTTCCCTTCCTGCCTCTCTTCCTCCCTTCCTCCCTTCATTTTTTCCTCTCTCTCTCTCTCTGTCTGTCTCTCTTTCTTTCTAAATTCTGAGTCAACACAGAAAAATTCAAGCCCAGATTTGGTCTTGAAGACTATTGTAAATAAAGTGATCAATTGAATCTCCCTGGACTGAACATTTGGACTGAACATTTGGAAGAGTGATTAGTGAGAGGAGTTAAAAGACAATCAATTCAGGGTCTTGCCATTTATTGAACAGATTTTCAGCCCCTTCACTGTAGGGTATTGTTTTCAGAAGATCTGCCTGCCCGGGATTCTTGGTTATAATTCCTCTCATGACTGGGGAAGATAAATATCTTTCACAGTAATTTAAAGTGGTTAGTCTGCACTCTCTCTAAACAGCTTCCTTCCATTGATCAACGGGTGGGCCATGAAGCCTCTTGCAGGCCTCTGCCCCTAATCACCCTTCTTGTTGACATTCCAAACTGCTAAGCTCACAAATGTACTGGGAGGACAGTAGCTAGAGGACACTTATTCCCTAAGAGAGAATCCTTGACTTTCACGGTATGTGACTTTGTTATTTTCCCATCCTTGTAAGGGCTTGACATTGTTTCAGAAAATAGTGTTGAATTGGGGAATGTCGTTTTCAGTTTCTTTCTCACTGACCCATGCCATTCAATGTCTTCATCCTCCTCAAAACCTTTTTTGGAATAAGGCAGGAAATAAATAAATAAATAAATGAAACTGTCTCTAATGTAAAATGAGTTGGGTAGTTTGAAGATGTTTCCTCTGAAACACTTGAAGGAAGATAAAGACTGAAAAGAGAGAAACTGCTATATTTTAGATGTAAACAAGAACAAGGGCCATTGGATAAATATGGTAAATTATACAGGGCTAGCATTTTGATAACTTGTGATCTGGAGAAAGTATAAGTTGGCACTTCCACTTTTTTTTTTTTTTTGGTTTTGTTTTTGATAATTGTATGCAGCATAGAAATCCCATAGCTCCCAAATCTTCTACTCCAACTGCCATTTGAAATTCTACCACAGTCCTATGTATCATCAATGACCTCCCCAATTTGGCCACAAAGGATACTGAGATTCTAAGTAGAGCTAGAATCAAACAGGAAACCATGTGAGTATGAGCAAAAGGGTAAGAGAAGTAAGAAAGCTGGTTTAGATCAGAAAAGACATCTCCTCCCCCCAGAATTTTCTGGAAGATGACATTTTGTAACAATAAGTTTATATCCAGTTTGTAAATCTTTTGGTTACATAAAACAGGACCATGTCTATGTCAAGTAATGGAGGTTACTGTTGAGTTACTATGACGATGGCACAGGCAGAAGCTAGTGCCTCCCTTAGACTAGGGCAGTAGTTCTCAACAGTGGGTGGGAGCAGGTAGAGATTTTGCCTCTGGAGGACATTTGACAATGTCTGGGGACATTTTTGATTGTCATAGTTACAGAGGAGAATGCTGGCATCTAATGGGTAGAGCCCAGGGACACTACTAAACATCCTCCAAATGCACAGGACAGCTCTTGACAACAAAGAATTATCCAGCTCAAAATGTCGATAGTGCTGAGGATGAAAAACCCTGAACAAGGACAAGAGGTGACCCCCTACTCCCTGTGTGGCCCTGTGACCTGGAGGACTTTGTAAACTAAACATCAAAAAACAAGGACAATAAATATTGTTTTTGGTTTTCACATTCATAATAAAATTCTTTACTTGATTGAGTATAAAGTTTTAAGACAAGAGAAGCTGACAAGCAATAGACAACCACGTTGCCCATCATAAAACCTTTATTTATATTCAGAGAACAGACATTGAGTTTCAGTTAAGTTTCCCTTGGAAATAATCATGCAAAGGCTGTATCATTAAGCATTGTAACAGGTAGATGAGGATAAGTCTTCCTCATCCCTAAAATTCTTCTGAAGTAGAATAGACACCCACCTGCCTGGAGTGGTTAAGGTAAGAAGGAAGGACAGGTAATCCTGGAGAGAGGTACTGCCCCTCCACTTCGCTAGTATTTGCAGGTCTAGATTCTATCTTTCTAAATATTACAGAATGACTCAATAGCACATTCTACTAAAAAATGGTAATGTATCATTTAAAAACTCTTCAAAAAATGGTTATGAAACTGCACTTACTGTTGCTTATTATACTATCTTGATCATAATTTTGTAATGTTTGAGAGAGGTACTCTCTCCTCACCTCCCCCTCACCTCTCAGATCCATCAGCCATCCTTCTCTGCCTTGTTCTGTGTCCCTGGGGATGGACCCTTACTGATTACAGCATGTGAATTCTCTTGTTCTTTAGCTTCTACCTGGCTGAGCTAATGCGAGGTGCTGGCAGGGGAACAGAGAGAAAGAGTAGAAAGGACTCAGAATACTTATTCTCCTGCCCTTACCCAGCCTTGGCACCTCTTGCCTGGTAGTGGCTACCGGTGTCCATGATTACAGCTTCTGCTTGGTGGAAACTTCTTTGCGGTTCCAGTTTTTTCTGGCTCTGTCAACCCTATTTTTATTTTTTTGTCTTTCAGGTCAATTGGAAAAGGCCTCTAGCTGTTGCTGGACTCAGAGTTCCTCAACATCTTTTATCAGTTCCATTAAAACTATGGGGAGGGATAACATTAGGAGAAATACCTAATGTAGGTGACTGGTTGATGGGTGCAGCAAACCACCAGGGCACGTGTATATCTTGTCACAAAACTGCACGTTCTGCACACATAACCCAGAAGTTAAGGTTTAATAAATAAAATACAATAAATAAAAAAACTATCAATATCTCATAAAGCAACAGGAACCCTCATTCATTGCTGGTGGAGATGCAAAATGGTACAGCCACTTTGGAAGTCAGTGTGGCAATTTCTTACAAAGCTAAACTTCATTTTACTATACAATCTAGCAATTGTGCTCCTTGGTATTAACTCAAATGAGATAAAATCTTATATCTGCACAAAAACTCCACCCAGATATTTATAGCAGCTTTATTCATAATTACCCCAAACTGGAAGCAACCAAGATGTCCTTCAGTAGATGAATGGATAAACAAGCTGTGGTCATTCAACAATGGGATATTAGTCAGAGATAAAAATAAATGAGCTGTCAAGCCATGAGAAGACATGGAAGGACCTTAAATGCATAGTGATAAGTGAAAGAAGCCAGTCCAGAAAGGCTGAATACTCTATGATTCCAACTATATGACATAGTTGAAAGGCAAAACTACAGAGACAGGAAAAAGATGAGTGGTTGCCAGAGATGTGAGGAGAGAGGAAAGGCAGAATAGGTGGAGCACAGAAGAACCTTATAGAGCAGTAAACTATTCTGTATGATACTGCAATGGTGGATACAAGGCACTCTGCATCCTTCCAAACCCATAGAATGTACAACACAAAGGCTGAACCCTAATGGAAACCCTGGACATTCATTAATAATAATGTATTGATACTAGTTCATCAATCGTAAGAAAGGTACCACACCAAAGCAAGATATTAATAATAGGGGCAACTGTGAAAGGCATGGGAGGCATATGGGAACTCTATACTTTCAGCTTAACATCTCTATAGACCTAGAACTACTTTAAAAATGAAGTTCATTAATTAAATATATCAGTGAACCATGTATATATATGAGGAAAAGTCCTACCCTCTTCTCTCTGCATAGCCTCATTATTATTTATCTTCTTTTATTATTTATCTTCTTCTTCTATTATTTATCTTCTCTTTCCAGGGAAATTCTATTTCCTGCCCAGGGCCTGACTATTATATGTTGTATCAAAAAGACATTGTGAAAATAAAGAAAACCGCAAAAATGAAAATATTATCAAAACCTTTTTATTCATGAAATGCATGTTAGACACCAAAATATTGGTGGCTTTTCATATCACCAATGCTAAAAAATTAATTAAGGGGTATATATCTTTTTTATTCCTTGGCATTACCTAAGATTTAGAGAATAAAGAATGTCCAAACACCCTGGTTTTCCTGGGGCAATCCTGATTTAGGGCTGTTTTCCTGAATGCAGTCGTTAACGGAACCCCGTTTTCCTCTCAAACTTGTCCTAGTTTGGATAATAAGTTATATTATTATTGTGCCTCTAATACTTTCTTTGCAAAAGGAGTTACAAAGCACCATGGGCAGAGTCTAGTCATACTCACCCCAGCTTGTCTGTTTGGGCACTGTCTGGAACAGATAGACTAGGCTGGGAACGAAGGTGTGTCTGCCAGGACCAAACGTTCCAAAAACAAATTTTTTATCAGATGAAACTATAACCTAGATCTTATAATGATTAAATGCAATTTCTGTAGTGAAAATCACCTTAAGTAGTATAAGGATTTGCTGAAGATGAACATCAGGCCCCATGAGTTCCTCAACAGCTCGAACCATGGAGAGTTCGTGCAGGCAGGGTCATTTGTCTACCACCTACACTGTGGATCAGGTACAGAGTACAGAGGGCTTGCTCTATACATATATAGCTACTAACCAGCTCCAGAAGCCAATATTTTACCTACCAGGACCAGGACCTTGAGGTTTCCCTTTATTATTATCCATTCATTCAATAAATACCCATTCAATTCAGGCACCGCATTGAAAATACAGTGGTGCATAACACAAGTAAAAAATATCCATTCTAGTGGGAAGAGGCAACCAATAAGCAAGTAATCAAGTCAGTGAAACAATTCATATAATGGTGAATACTAGGAAGGGTATAGATGCAAAATCATTGCACAGGAGAGAGGGAGGGCTTCTTTCTAGAGATGATAGTTGAACTAATTCTGAAGAGGAAAGGGAGCCAGCCAAGGGAAATCTTGGATGTTCATCCCACAGTCCCTCTGGAATTAATGAAACTAATGAATAAACTGTGTGCCAAGAAGAAATATTATAAATGTTAAGTGGTTTTTCTTGATAAGCAAAAAGAAAACTAGTATTCTAGGTATTACATGTGGGCACTGTAAATTTTAAAAAGAATTGTTCTCTTGTTAGCAGTCATTTGTTATTGATTGGTAATTGCCATCATCAAAATGCCAAATCATGTTGACCCATCTCTTCTGCTTCAAGACTTTCCCAGCCTGTTCCAGTTACTATGGCTGCATAACAAATTACCCAGAACCTTAGTGGCTTAAAACAATGACAACACTTGTTTTGTTTATGATTTTATAATTGGGAAGACTCCATGGAAATGGCTTATCTATGTTCCACTCAGCATTAACTAGCAAAGTGCAGCGAGGGGGTCCTTGAACCATCTAAAGTCTTCCTCATTACCTGTCTGGCAGTTGGTACTAGCCATTAGCAGATCCCAGCTAATGCTTTTGGCCAGAAAATTACACGTAACCTTTCCAGGTGGCCTGGGCTTCCTCACAACATGGAGGCTGTGAGCATCCTGACAGAGAGAGCAAGGGCCAACTGAGTGCTGTGTTGCTTCCTATGACCTAGCTTCAGAAAACACGTAACATTACTTCAGTGATAGTCAATTAGTCACAGTGGCAAAAAAGGCTGTCCAGATTCCAGGAAGGGAACATAGATCCATCTCTCATTGCAGGTCACAGTGGAAGAAGAACATGTGGGATGGCATCTATTGGTGCAGCCATCTTTGAAACACATAGTGTTCCATGAAGCTCAATCCTTTGAGTTTCTTGTAAGACACTTCTATTTTTCCAGTCCATATGCCTAAAAGAACACATAAGGCAACTGCAAAGATAGGAGAAGTGAAATAAACTGAGTGGGAAACTCAAAAATCCTCATGGGCAAGCAGACAGACAAGGAAAGCCTAGAGACTCACTCATTATTCATCTCTGTCCTGTGTATTTATGATAGGTATCAAGCTTGAACGAGTCATTAAAAATATGTTTAGAAAACTTTGGTTTGAACAAAGTAAAATGTTTTTCTATATTTCTTATCTTCTTAGAAAATTTAGTAACTATGTGTATGTCCTCCAAGAGGGACACATAGTATGAAATTTATCTCCATCTTCTTTGACGTGGAATCCTTTTTGCATACAATCGTGAAATAGCTCACGGGACCACTTAGGAAATTCTATTAAGCCAATTTGTTCTAAGAGGGGTTATAATAGACCCACAGAGTGGGATGTTTCATGGGTTTTGTGAGGGGATGGAAAAATTCTCTTCCAGCTTGAAGCTGTGAAAGGAATGCAATGTCTGCTTTTCAACTCTGGTTAGCAGAATGTTGTGCCCTATGGTACCTGAATGAAATAGCTAACCTGAGTGTGCTCAAGGAATATGTTGTTTCTGGTATGCCAGAATTCAAAACCAGAGCCCATTAGCATGAGTACTTCAAGGACTGCCGCTGATGTAACCTTTCAGGGGAAAGGCTGGTCCATCTACAAATGACTCAAGATGTGATGAACAGTAGGAAGCCAAGCCAGTGAGTAAGGGACAACATATGCTGCTGATGGAGCTCAACTTCACCCTGCCTCATTGGACCAAGTTCATTACCTGAGAGTGATGAAATGAGGCGAAAGAGAATGTACAACACGAAGACTGCAGAAACTTACAAAAGGAGTGTAGGCTAGAAATCTAGACCAGCCTCAAGATGCCAAGATTCCACTTAGAGAAAAGGGAAATACATCTGTGGAAATTAATGAGAAACACAGATATTCCATGGGAGTTCAGAACCTGGAAATTAGTGAGGCCAAGAAAAAGAGGGATATGACAGAGGGCAAATTTCATAGGAGTTTGCAACATGATATTTGGGTGGAAAGGAGCTTGGTTTGCTTTTAGCAGCAGGAGGAAAATCTCCATTTCACATTTAACAACAAAAAAGGGAACCTGGTGAGGACTAATTTGGAATACCATCTTCGAATTTGGTGCCTTGTTACAGTAGGGGAGTAGTTGACCTGGCCAAAATTCCAAGAGCCAGTTGAATGCTGTTGGGTTTGAGTACACTGATTAAATAAGTCAAATCCTCTTGGCCTTCTGAGCATCTTAACTCCCAGCAATAACCTTAGAAAACATTCAGGAAGACTATGAAAGTCCTGGAAAATTCCAAGGGAAGTATTTCTACCTAAAAGTATATGAAGATTGAAACAGCCAAGGAAGGAAGGAGATTATTGCTGTTGGAGAGCGTGGAATTTCAACCAGAGTCCAGAGAAGACACTCCATCCTCAAGATGCATTAAATTTTATACGAGGTCTTTTGTGGACTGTTCGGACACATCCTGCCTCTGGGCACTTCAGATTAGCTTCGGTACTAGAGTGTTTGATGATTTTTCAAAAACCATGAATCCTCTCTGACACTGGCAAAGAAGCTTGGAAAAGATGAGATAACATACGTTATTTACTAGCTCAATGATTGCTAAGTGGTATTTTTCTTCTTTTGATTAGATTAAAAAATGTATTTAAAGAATGAAATGTATTAAACAGAAGCTATTTACACTTAGGCAAAAGTCCTGTTTCAGAGTTGGGCAAGTGTTCGCTGCAATCAGGATCATAACCACACCTGTACGATTTCTAGCATTCATTAGAAGACCTACCCAGACACTGAAATAATAAGATTGTCAACTTTTGCCCTCTCTGGGATCAGTGCCAAATGACTGATTTTCAATGTCCTGGCTCCATGTTGCTCTCATTGTGATCTCTCTTCTGATTCTTTACTTCTTACTTGCTTGTTATTTTCCTCCTTATCATTCTCTGCCCCCAACTTCCTTCTTCTTCTGTCTGGACTTCTGTCTTAGTTATAAGAAATACCATAGATAGGGGCTTGCGAACAACAGAAACATATTTCTCAGAGTTCTGGAGCTGGAAGTCTGAGATCACAGTGCTTATGTGGTCAGGTTCTGGTGAGGGACCTCTTTCAAGTTGAAGACTGTCTTCTCTTTTTATCCTCACATGGTAGAAAGGGAGCAAGGGATCTCTTTGGGGTCTCTTTTATAAAGACACTAATCCCATTCATGAGGGCTCTATCTTTATGACTTAATGTCCTCTGAAAGGCCTCACCTCCCAATACCATCATATTGAGTTAGGATTTCAACATATGAATTTGGAGGGCACATGTACATTCCATCTATTGCAGCTTGTCACTCCCCTTCTCTCTTCACTCCCTTCTTCCACTGTGGACTCCATCCTGCTTTTTATTCACTTCTTTTGCCTCTGGTTATAAAGACATCCCCTTTTCTCATACCCTTAGTTAAAAACCACCCTATATTTGTAAAAAATTTCTTCTTCAGAGGAACTTTCTAGGAATTGTCTTCCCATTCTCAAAAGATCTTGTGTGCAAGAAGAAATTACCTTCTGAGTACAGGTACCATCTCCATGAATTTTTGATGTTCAGCTCAAATTTGGAAGGAAAAATTGATATCTATTAATTTATCTAAAAAATGACTGGTTGTAAGGTAGGTGCTAGGAAAGAATATAAAGATTTGCCTCCTTTTCTTGAAGACGTGCCAACTGGCAGACTTCCTAAAACCCAAGTGAGAAAATGATGACAGGCCTTCTGGACAGGATTTGAAGTAAGCCTCATAGCATAGAGAGAATTTGGATGTCCAGAGTTAGAAGGAGACAATAATGTGGTATTGTGGACAAAGGATGCATTATCATAAGGGACCTGTTTAGAGATTATTGGGCAGGAAGGAAAGGAGTGATGAATGGTGTTGGAAAGGGTGGCAAGGCCAGTGGTAGAGGGCTTTTAAGTGTAGCAGGAGATACCTAGAAATACAAAGAAATGACAACACACGCTTTGGAATTACATGGAACTGAGTTTGAATCCAGGCTTCTCCACACACTCACACTGCTTGGCTCACCTGGTTGAGCCTCCGTTTCTGATCTTTAAAATAATATTAATACCACTCACATTTCAGTGTTGTAAAAGCAAATATTTCCAAATTGTAAACATTAAGTTCGATGGTGAATGAAAAAATTCTTTGCATGGTGTTTGGTTTTTGGTAAAAGCTCTAACACATGATGGCTATTATCAATATTATTATTAGGCTGAAAGCCAGTACGTTTGTTACTGGAAAAGAAGGGGGGACTTTTAAATTGTCATTAGTCTAAAGATTTTTTTCTGGAAAGAAATGAAGTGAAACCTGTGTACTTAAATATAAATGTAAATAAATAAATATATATATATATATATGATAAACTGCATTGTTGGTATCAATTCTCTACCCCTTTCTGTATCCATGTTTTTCACCATGCAAAGTGTCTTCCTATTGTGGGGTGTAAGTGATTCTACACCCTTGAGCTCTGACACTGCCATGGGATTGGTAGCAGTTATGATGTAAGCAGGGCCTTGAAAAGTGCTTTCAGGATAGGATCTGTTTGCTCTTTCCCCTCTGCCACTTTCATGAGGAAAAACATGCCCAGGACAGCACACAGGTCACAGGAGGAGGAAAAAAAGTCACCTGGAGCAGTGACCTCTGTAACCTAGTGGAGGTCAGAACTGCTCAGCCAGGTGCCATCAAGATCAGCAGACTCTCTGTCAGCCTGTAGACGTGTTTTAATCCATGAATTCCAGTGTGATTTGCTATGTAGAATTATTGTGACCATAGATAGTTGATACAATATATATGTATGTGTGTACATATATAGTATATATATATATATATATATGTTTATGTGTATATAGGAAAGCCTGAAAAACTTTAATTATAATATTTCATTTCCTTCTATAAGTAATTGCTACATGATATTATGAATATTTTTAAAAATCCAAAAATATATTTTCCCAAGATAATAACCTCTATGTGTACAGAATCCAACCTGACAGCTAAACATTCATACCTCAATGATCTTTGAAGAGGTATTTATTTTCCTTAGAAAGCTGGGATGACTTGCACAGTCTTCTACTTGGTCTAGGTCATTGTGTTGTATTCAGTGAATATAATGGTATGGATCAATGTGTGCAATACCAAATTATCGTTGCAACACATTTTCTGTTGTGAATCTTTAGTTTCTTTCTAAATTCCAGTAGAACAGAACTACCTGAATTCTTTTCAATGAGACATCATCTTGATTGCCATTTATAGAAGAAACCCTAGGTATCCAACCGTTACTGCAAATGTGTCTCCATAGTCAGCAAAATAGTTGCCAAATTTTTCTCATCAGAATTCACTCAAAGGTGCTTAAATATTGGCAGTGTCCCATCAGCAAATGGTGCAGGTAGTAGTAAGGAAAAGGAAAAATATGGAGAACAGTTTAAAGCATCAGAAAGCAGAGTGTGTAAGAGAGCAGACAAAGTGTTTTGTTAATCTCTGGGCAGTTTTGTGGGAAAGCAAGGGGGACACTGGATGAAGCTTTATAAACACGCAGCCATTAAATGAGTCCGGATGTGCAAAGAGCTTAGAATTGTGCCTGGCATAAAATAACTGCTCAAAAGATGTTGAAACATTTTGTTTCAAGCCTTTGGAAGAAAACAAAACAAAAATAAATTCCCCTTAAAGTTTACCTTTGAAAATAAGTCAAGAATTTTCTTCTTGTATTTGGACATTTGAAATAAACAATTATTATATTCATATGCTTTTAAGCACAAGAAACATTGTTGATAAAACACAATTGTACGTCAGCATCTTTTAGTCAAGTGACTCATAGATACATGAGAAGAACACACAACAATATTCTTATTATTTTCTTTCTCTGTTTAACATTTTTTTTTTTTTAATGGAGTCTCACTCTGTTGCCAGGCTGGAGTGCAGTGGAGAAATCTTGGCTCACTGCAGCCTCCGCTTCCTGGGTTCAAGCGATTCTCGTGCCTCAGCCTCCCAAGTAGATGGGATTACAGGCGCCCGCCACCACACCCAGCTAATTTTTGTATTTTTAGTAGAGCCGGGGTTTCACCATGTTGGCCAGGATGGTCTGGATTTCCTGACCTCGTGATCCGCCTGCCTCGGCCTCCCTCTGTTTAGCAGTTTTTGACAATTACTATTTGTGGATACTCTGCCAAGGCCATGAACACTAGAAAGCTGTTCCCTGATTTCATAGAGCACTGGCTGGTTGAAGCAATGTGATGCAGGTACATAAAGAGTGCTAACAAAAACAGGCAAGAATGCCATAAGGGAGAAAAAAATAACAGTACAATTCATTCTAAAGGAAGAGAAATTGTAAGAAATTGGAGGGGTGTTTTAAGTCATGCTTCTCATATATGATTAAAAACTGATGTCAGAGGCATGGAGAAAATACAATCAGGTTGAGAATTAGTAACTTCCTTTCTAATTAAGAATGTAGTAGATTGAAGAAGCATTGTTCTCAGCCCTCTCTACAGGGACTCTATGTTTTACTTAAGTAATTGATCTGAGGTAGCTCAGAGGCACCTTGGATTTTGTGAAGATTACATTCAGCTTTTGCCACTTGGACACCCAGGACTATATTTGTGGCCAAATTTAGCCACCGTTTCGATCCTATTTTATTTTCTGTTCTCTCTCTCATAGTATATCTGTAAATTACCTTAAGTCCTTTTGTAAGATATAGAACGAATAAGTAAGTAATGAAGACTGTAAGAAAGTCATTCATCGTCCCCACCTCTCAATTTTGTCAATTATAAAATGAAAGACTAGGATTAAGTTAAACTGAGTTTATTTTTTTCTAGCTCTAATATTTTATGATTACATGAATGAATGCAGGATTGTTCATAAATGAAGAATAGCTTAATTTAGCCAATACTTAGAAGTAGTAGACATGAAGACTTTCTCTGTAAGAATATAAATAACTTGACTTAAAACCATTGGTTGAAGTCAATATACCAGAGTTTCAATTGTAAACGCCTCCTCTCATTTATTCCCTTCTAAGAGTGGTTTGAGCATATAAATGCATAAATAAATAAATGGCTTTGTGTGTCCAAAATCTACTGGCACACATCAGGTCCTATGAGACATCACATTATCAATGATACATTTCAATTGCTTTTAAAAAATAACCAGCAACTTTTCAGGTTTTAGAGATCATATCAAACATATATTCTTAGAGGAAAAAAAAAAACATGTATTCAATCCTTAACTAAAAATAAACAATGAAATCTCTAAAGGATATTCCAGTCTTATATCATCAGCTATCAATACCTGTTAACCAACAGGGGAAGCTTCAAAAAATGAAGCATTTGGTTTTTCTTGGTGGTGGATTCTTTTGGAAGATGAAAACTATGGAGGGGAGAAACTTTACCTAATGCTTTAATAACAGTAAGAGTAGATATTGTTATGTAGTACTGGGAACTGCAGAGCTGGTAAGTTTCTGAGCTCTTCTCATAACAACCTTATTATAGATTATGTATGAATCACATTTTTGTTCTTTATAATTCAATTTTGATTATATTTAGTTTGATGATCTAGTATCTCTGAATATGAGACAAAAATAAAAAAGAATATTGGAGTAAAAATGCAAACTTGCTAAAAAATAGAGAGATATAAATTAAAATATTAGAAGTCACAGAAGAAAACAGAAGTCTTGCTTTTCTACCTTGACGTTACTTAGAAATGATTTTGATAATCACGTTCTTAGCACAAAATCAAATTTACAATTCCTATCATCACAGTTGAAATTTTTTAATCAACTAAGGAAGCTTGCTTCTGAGCAATGAGTATGGAATTTATTCCTCTAAGAACTGACTAATTTTAATCATTAAGATAAGAATGTCAGGTGCTATGATGTTGATAAGTATTTCACAGCTCCAAATACATCACTTCCATGGAACAGAAAAATGATAACATGTTGGAGACAGGAAAAAAAAAAACAACAACTCTATGATTACTTTGGGTATAGGCCCTGACCTGAGATCTTAGTAGGGGGAAAAAATCATCTTTCTAAAGAGAAAAACATCACTGAGAAGACAATCTTAACTGGATCAACATTCATGTTGAAAAAATGAATGTGCTTTAAAAATTGAATAGATGTTTCCAGAGCTTTGGTTCCTGGGAAGAAATAAAAACAACTGTTAAGCCAGGTCAATGAGGAGAGGAGCAGTGAAGTTATTCTATATCTCTAGTCATCTTTGACTGTCAAATTTATTGCATTTTTTTCAATAAAAATTGTCTTTTGTTTAATCGAATGCTTAAACTTGTTTGCAAGCCTCAATGAGCAGGGGATGGTGGGTTTCCAGAATTAGGCTGAGAGACTAAGACAGACAGCTTGGTATTGCTAGGTAGGGTGCTCATAGGTGGTAACTAAATGTGCCAGATGTCTGCTACTGAGTTCTGTATTGGAAGTAACCAACATAGGTGGAAGGGTATGTACTTTAAGATTGAAATTTTGGTTGATCCACATTTTATCTTCAGTGATACCGCCATTTTAATAGATCCTCAAGTTAGGAATTATTTGCTTCCTCTGAATGGCCAAAGGTCTGTGATAAAAAATCCAGGGAAATAAAATGAACCCACTTTTTTGTCAGTGATTCCCATCTCCTGGCAATCCCTGTGAAATTCACACTCCTGGGCAGTTGGAGATTCTACTGACATAAATCATGTGAACCAAGTGTGGGACAATGCTAGAGACCACCAGGATGAAATATCTCTGTTTCAAACTAACTCTTGTTCCCAAGTAGGGCCTCTTATACCTGTTTCCCAGAGCCTATAACGTGAAGAGTTCATGTGAATGACTCCTTCCTACTGAGAAATCAGGAAAGGTCGGGAGGGGGTCACACCTATTCTGACACTCTTCTAGCAGGCTGAAAACAGGCCAGGTCTGAATCACAGTGGACCACACAGGGCCACAGGGAAGGGAAACTGCTTTACTTGAACAAAGTCACTATTTCCTGGAGGCTGAAGGGGGAATTTCATCTAAAATTCCCTCACTAGGCTCCCAACAAAAGCAATAAAAGTTACTAGTAGTGCCTGGCTCCTTTATTCTATCCCTTTGTTTACTTCTGATTAACATTTTACATTCTTTTATTTATTTTGGATTGATTTTTTTTTAAAAAATAGAGCCACTCAGCTTCCAACCTGGAGGCTGACTAAAGGAAGTAGCAATGGATATTTTTGAGTGGATACATCTTCATTCAGGGATGGGCAAACCAGTGCATTTTTAGAAAGTATTTAGGATGATATGGTATCTTTCCAGATAAAGACAGGCCTCCTTCTCCTTTGACAAAGTGAATTGGAGGCAATGTAGATGTTACTTGTGTTTGCACCCTTTGATGTGTAGTATAGACATTGGGCTTCACCTAGAAGGGCTCTTCAGGCTGCTGGGCTGACTTCTCTTTCCCTTGCTGCCCTGCTCCAATAACACTTACCATACAATATTCCTTTTGGCTTGACACTTCTCTGCTTCAGGTTCCTACCCATCCACCCAACAGGTCCCCGCTGCAGTTGGAATAAAATCTGCACCTGACATTGACCTCCAAGATTCCATGTGACTTGACTCTTGTTTACATCTCCAAACTCATGTTATACCCATCCCTCCAGCTCAAACCCACCTCACTGCCTTGGGCTTGCAGTTCCTTCTCCTTGGAATATTCTTTCCCTGTTCTTTTAAAGCCACAGCTCCAATGTCATGTCTTTGGAGACACTCTCTCATCTCCATCTCTCCTATCTAAACCATTCACAGCACACCATCTTGTTTTATGCCCTTTGCAGTGTCTGTCACATCTGTCATTTCTTCTTTACTAATTGTTTCTTGACAAGCAGAATATGAACTCCAAGATGACAGGAGCATCTCATATAGATGGCTATATCCCTAGTACTTGAAACACTTTTAGGCACAAAGTTGATACTCAATAAAGATCTGGCGCATGAAGTAATAGATGAACTGTTACTATCACATGATTAGCCCACTGCAACCAGAGGGAATGGGCTCAAATAGCTTCTTTTAATCCCTACTTCTAATAAATTCTGTTCTCATTGCATATATTATTTCTCCATCCTTTGCTATGCCCACACATAAGTGTCCTTTGTTTAGCTTACACTTCAAATCTCTGTTTACTTGTCATCTGTAGGAAATCATTCTTGGCTGTCCCAAACCGGATTGGGTGCTTCCTCTACACTTCCTTCAGTTAGAGCACTACTCACACTGCATAATGGCTCCACAGAGTAGAAGCAATTCTCTTTCTCTTAGCGTCTAGGGTGTCCAGCACAGGATCTGCCTGTGTCAGAGCCTTAACACCTGTTTGTTGAATCCATGAATGTGAATTTAGAATGTTTTTAAGCATATCCACTTTATTACCTTTCTATATTGTACACAGAACACTCATGATACCTATTTGTTGAGTACATGAATGCATAGTTAGAATCATAGATTGTTTTTGAACATGTCAATGTGATTACCTTTCTACATTTGTACATAAAACACCCATGGTGTTCCACAGGAAAGGCATAAGTCATCAGCCTGGTGCTTTTTTTATCTCCTGTTTAACCTCGTAATTAACACCTTTAGAGCTCTTATGTTTTGCCAGGCTGCAGCTGAGGCTTTTGCTTGGGTAATTTCCCCCACGTCAGCTCTAGGAAGTAGGAAGTGTTGGAACTACTACCATCCAGTTGACAAAATTGAAGCTGACTTGCCCAGCGTCACACAGCCGGTAAGTGCTGCGGGCAGAATTGGAACCCAGGCAGTCATAGATAGTAAAGTCGTCACTGTGAAACACAGAGAAATGGCACAACCTCACGGCAAATTTGATATCAATGCCACCAGTAATTTCTGTGCTTGCTGATTTAGTGTGGTTACAAATATCATACTTTAAAACTCTGATTAGGGTATTCTGCTTTTCAAACACCTCTCTAACCTCATGAAGACCTAAAGAACAAATTCTCAGCTCTCCATGATAGCAATTAAGACCTGTTACCTCTGCTCCCAGTCTGCCTCAGCATACTTCTCCCACCATTACTCAACGTGAGCACAACCTTTTGCTGGTCTCTAAATGAGCCTTGATCCTTTCTCTCTTTGCTTATTCATTTTCTCCTTTGGCTTCTACTCATCGTTCCAGAGCAATCTCATAATTCTTTTTTTTCTGGTTTCCTTCAAAACAAATTTACTTTCCATGTATTTCAAACTTACTCATTGTTTAATTCTGAAGCTTGATAGGCTGCTTTTATTTGAGCTGGAGGATTTCTCTCCCTCCATGCCTTCTGTATAACTGTAGGAAAAATATGTCAAAGAGTAGATGAGATGGTAAACAAATAATCTGCTGCAAAATGCATGAAGAATAAACTGGGGGAGTAAGCAAAGCTTTAAGTAACATGTTCTTAAATATGCAAAACAAGAAATTGTGTTATTAGCTCACATTATGAGAAATTTACACTAAGTTAGGAAGCTTCACATAAAATAAAAATAAATCTATTCAGTTTATATATTCTTTGTCACCTCTTTGGAGAAATGCTTCCTTGTTGCTTCCACTGAATTTCATATTTACCTTTGTTATATGTCTCACCACTGTGGATTGTATGCATTGTTGTATTTCTCTGTCTCTCATCAAATTTCTAAGATCAGGATCTGGCTCTTTGTGCCTAGGACATGCTTTGGAACATGATATATCTCTAAAACAAACAAAAACCTTGCTACAAATAAAATAATACACACACCTGAATGGCTAAGATGTAAAAGTGAAAAACGCCAAGTGTACAAGCTCTTTGCCAGCCTATTTGGCTGTGTCTCCTGAAGTTAAACATGCCAAAAAACCCAATAATTCTACTACTGAGCATATATAGTCACTAAAAACATGGGGGTTGATGGTCATCAAAAGACTTGTTCAAGATTTACAGTATCACTATTTGTTATAGTCAGAAACTGGAAATTACTCAAATACCCAGAAATAGAAGAATGCGTAAACGAATTGTAGCATATTGTGGTATATGTGTACAAAGGAATACTATACAGCAATGAGAATGCACAAACTAAAACAACAAAAAGCTAGACACAAAAAGTACATCTGTATGATTTCATTTATACAGTTTAAAAAGTGGCCAAATGAATTTAGGAAATTAGAGTTCAGAAGAGCAGTTACCCTTGGTGGAAGAAGTAGGGACTGCAAGGTAGCCCAAGGCAGCTTCCTGGTGCTGGTAATCTTTTGTTCTTAACCTAAGATCTGGTTATACAACTGTGGTCACTTGGTAAAAATGAAGCTGAGAATCTTTTCTGTGTCCATCTTGTACTTTAACAAAAAGTAGAGATAGATAGTAAAAGAGGAACAAGGGAGGAAGGAATAAGTGAAGGAAAGAGAAAGAGAACATTTTTGAATAAAGTTATTTTTTTTTAAAGTCCTTTGTCTTTACAAAATCCCAAGCCCCACAATTTACTTCAATTGTTTATTCAGAACTACAAGAGCTGCATCTGAATTAGCACAAAATCTTACTTAGTTGGCTGGGAAGCTTGAATGGGCCTTTTTTTTTTAATATGGAAAATTACATCTGTTTGAATTATAACCACTGAATTCTCAATGTTTGCGAAGCAAAAGATGGTACCTCTAAGAATGGATGCATCCTTCTAAGCATCCACATGGCTACCAGTGAGTGAACAAGGAATTCTAGCTCATTCAGCTGAAAACATAGTTTTTGTTAGCTTGCCAGGGGAGGCCTGATTGTCAATTGTGCCTGAAGGAAGTGAGTGCTGTTAAGCATAGACATTTCTCCTTTGTGTACAGTGGAAATGATGGGCACACACACCTCCTGCTCACTTGCAGTGACTGGATTCTATTCACAAGCCAGTGCTGCCATCTGACAATACTTGCATTGGAATGGCCACATTCATACCATTTCTTTAGTAAGCTGCGAGGTTATATTTCTTCCTCCTGTCACAGAAGCAGAATTTGATCTGTGTTTGTTGGCGCGGGTAGATGTGTGAAGATCAAACGCAAGCTTTGTCAAACAGACGGTAGTCTTCTACTGAGGAAAATTACTTTTTCCCCCCATTTTCCTAAGGCAAGTAAGTGAGAATGTTAGGAGTTATGATAGTGTTGAATTTCAGATCAGGTAAACTGACAACGAGCCCTGCTGTGAATTGGAGTGTTTTCTTTTGAATGTTTTGGCAGCTCTTTGAAAGCAGACAGTAAGCCTCAGACTGTCAGCCGTTATGTTTGATATTCCTTGATGTCGATACTGGATATGAAAGAACATTGTGCATTTGGTTTAAAAACTGTGTGTGTGTGTGTGTGTGGTCAGTACCTTAGAAATAACTTGAGGGCAAGGTACCACTAAGAGAATCCCAGGTTATATAGTCAGTGAGTAAAACTATTTGAATGACATCGTGAGCTACAAACCTTTTCTAGAAAGGGACACACCTTTACTTTTTATAGACAGTTAAAAGCAATTGTGTCTGTCCTACATGCTTATAAGTTTTATAATTGTCTTTGGTGTGCATGTCACATTTTGTGTTCATATATAAATTCAATTGCCAGAGCCCCATCTATGTGATGAAAACACATGAAGCAATGTTTTATTAGAAGAACGCTCAACAATCAACTTGACTCTTTTCCTTTAATGCTTTGACTAAAATTTTCCCCTAAGGTATCCAGAATTACTTGGATTCCTTGTAGATACAAAACCTATGTTTTCTACTTTGTGCTTCAATATTGTTTCAAGTCAAAACGTCCCTGGGACATATATGCCCTTAGTTATTATGTAAGTAATTAACAGTTATTAGCTAAATATTAATGTGCATAAATTTAAGATTCATTTGATTCATTCCAGTAGATTTAACAGCAAGAGGGTAGCACTGAGAGATCTGTGGAAGAAGTAAATAGCAAGGACAGAGGGAGAAGAGATTTCCAAAGGAGTAAAAGAATGTCTTAGCAGTGTTCTTAATCATTGTAAGGGAGTTACAGACTCCTTTTAGAATTCGAGAAAGTCTGTGATGTCCTCAGAAAAAAATGTGCACATATATGAAAATGCAAAATGTGGATGACTGTCTTAGTTTAGATTCCCCAGAACCAGACCCAAGGCAAAGGTTTGAGAGCAGGTAGTTTATTTGAACAGTACCAGGAGCTTGGGTGGGTGAAGGGAGGAATTGATGTGGGGAGAAAAAGCAGGCAAGAAATGGTGTATTATTAAGGCGCTTTCCATAAAAGTGACAAAAGTCCGGGGAGAAACTCTACAAAACAATGCAAAACAGACACCTCAATATTATCTCAGCCAGAAGACCCAATGCCCAGTCATTGGCTAGGGCTGCCCTGGTAGGATGTGAATTCACAGACACAGCCATTGGCAATGCACAGGGCAATATGGGTTCTGAGCCTAGGGAATGTCTCATGACAAAGATGAAGGTGTTATCCCCAAAGTGGTGTGTGCTAAAAAAAGAAAACAAGCAAACAAAAGAAAAAACAGGGAAGAAAAAAAAAAATGCAGGTTATGGACATGGGAAATCAGGCTGGCATGCCCAGCAGTGGTAAGAAAAATCAAGAACCTGTAGGTATGCAGTGTCTGCTGTAGATATGCCTTGGGATCCCCTATTCATCCTTTAAAGGTCAGCCTGGACCAGTTTATTAAAGAATTCTGCTGTGTGGAAAGGGCCGCCTGAAAGTAAGATGCCCATTTTGGAGATGAGTTCAGCTATTAACATCTTTGAGAAGGGCCAAGGGCCAAGTTATATGCCCAACCATGTTTTCAGCTTGTAAAATTATTCTAGAAGGAAGGGATTTAGTGAGTCAGTGGACACCTTCAGAAAGAGTGTTGGGAGTCTTGAGAACTCTTTAAACTCTTCTGACTCACTGTGTCTCACAGGGTCAGGCATGTGATCTCTCTTTATGAGAGAGTCTCCATCTAGGGAATGGGATAATAATGGTCTTTCTCATTCTTGAGAAAAAGGTGTCCAGGCCCATGATGCCGTGAGACTGCCAGCATCAACGCCCCTGTGTGACACTCTTCCTATTTGTAATCTCTTTTCCCCAAGCAATGAGTTGAGTCAACAGAGCAATCCTATCTCAGACTTCAGGAAACGAAATCTCGGAGCATCGGGTTGGTATACCAGAGTCATCCAGTGAGTCACTGTCACAGTAGGAATCAGGTATTAGAACATCTAAACTCCAGGCCATTCTTAAACTCCTCAGGCTTTACCGTCTCCTCCTAAAAATGGAGAAATGGGTGCTAATAATAGGCCTGGTTCTCCCGTGAGCCAGAATGACTTATTCACAACCTGGGAACAGAGTCATCTAGGGGAGGTGAGTTAACCTTTTTTGGTGATAATTTCCTGACAAAGGATGCCTAAAAACCCTGGAAAATGGTAATAGTTCATCTACTGTTCCTGCAGCCGCTGGACTGGGATCTTAAGCAGTCTGACCCATTTTATACTCATATCCTTAATACGTTGCTTCACACAATGCTTTTTGGCATTAATGGACATGATCAGGAAGCCTGCTGAAGTCTTTTGAAACTGTTAGATGAACGAAGAAATGGCAGATTGCCTTTGGAAACACTTGTTACTTTCTTATAATGTTAAATGTGCACTTATCAATATGGCCCAGCAATTTCACTCCTGAGGATTCACCCAAGAAAAATGAAAAATTTTCACAAAATTTCACACAAAAAACTATATACAGTTGTTTATAGAAGCTTTATTCATAATCAGTAAAATCTAGAAACAATCAACTATTGAATAAATAGCTGGTATACAGATAACATCCTGCAGTGCATCCAGTCAATGAAATAATACTCAGAATAAAAATCATAATAATAAAGTACTGATTGATGCAACAGCAGGCATGCCTCCCCAGCATACTCTGTGATGTGAAAGAAGCCAGAAATGAAAGATGACATACTGTATAATTCCATTTGTAAGATAGTCTAAAACCTGTATAAGAACAGAGAACTGATCAGTGGTTGCCAGGGCCTGGGGTTTGGGGAAGTGGTTAACTACAAAGGGGTAGACAGGGATGTTCACGGCTGAGGAAACTGTTCTGCATCTTAATTGCTGTGTCAGTTACAGGACTAGGTGCATTTGTCAAAATAAGGTAAATAAATTACATCTCAATAAACTCGACTCACACCCACCAAAAAAATAATAAGAAAGAAAAAATGGTAGAGCCATGTTAGGTCACCAAGGTAGAGGTGACATGGGAAAAGAGATTAGAAAGACAGAAGTGTCATAAGGGACTCTGTCATAAAGAACTCAGACAATAATGTAATAGTATGTTGTGGTATTTCTTTCAGAGCCAATACTCTGGCCAGCAGGAACCCAGGAGCCCAGAAGCCCCAGGCCTGACCCATTCTGGCAATTATTATAATATTATTCTTAAAAGCCAAGTCCGTCTCTCTCTCTCTCTCTCTCTCTCTCTCTCTCTCTCTCTCTCTCTCTCTCTCAAGTCCCTCTCTCTCTCTCTTTCTCTCTCTCTCCCCCATCACTCTATCTTTCTCACACACACTCACATGCTCACATGATCACACACACACAGAGAATAACAAGCTTTGCAAAGTGCAAACATTTCCATTGCTGCCAAAGGTCAGGCTGAGGATGAGGCTCGAAACCTCGAATTTGTCCAGCTGTCATCTCCCAGTCTCAGTCAATACTGTGAATGTCCAGTTCTATCCTGAACATATCTACAAATACATCTACTTGGAAAATACTGGCACATAAATTTAGAGAGGTTTAAAGTGGGAATGAATACCTCAACCTACGGGGTGGAAAAAACCTGTGCCCTGCTCTTTGTGGGCAACCCAACCTGTTTGAACTGCTAAAAACACTCAGGGCAAAACAAGGAGAGCAGAAAAAAATAAGCTTTTAAGAAAACAGTTCTCTCAATATCCCTAAGTTTAATGGCTCAATATTTAGCATGCGTTTCATAACTCCAGCTTTTTTTGGGTGGAGGTAGGTAGGGAAAATGGGAATATAGTAAAGAGTTTTCAAAACACTTGCTATTTGTAAGGCTTCTTTTTTTATGTACCATAACGCACACAGCCCTCTCAGGCATGGGGTCAGGCTGTTTCCTTGGAGTGGAATTGAACACGAATGAGGAATAGTGAGAAACTGGGTTAGGCTACCATGGAAAATATGAGAGCCCTGGAAAGCGTCATTACAAGGTCTGACAATGATTCCAGGGTTACTGGAGAAACTTTTTTTTTTCTCTTTTCCCTCTTTCCTCCAAGTACCCAGATCCCTCCAACAGGATCCCAGAAGTGTGACACTAACAATGAATTTTCAATGCATCCTGCACCCAAGGGATTTGCAACTTAGTGGGACACACATGTTAATAGACAACTAAACCAGTGGTCACAACAAAGTGAGACAAGGGCTACCGCAGAGAGGCAGAGAGGCTGGAAAGCCAATTGTCATGGATATAGATGGTCATCGTTTCTGTCTTTGGCTCTACCATATGCTAGCTCTGTGGCTTTGAGCAAGCTACCTAACTTCTCTAAGCCTCAAAATTTTAACCTGTGAAGTAGAGATAATAATAGCACTACCCCAACATGTGATTGAGGGTTAAATGAGAAATCCATTCAAAGCACATGAATAGTGCCTGGCTCATAGTAAGTGGTCATAAGTGGTAGCCATGACAGTAATTTCATGGGAAGAGAGATCACCTCAGGAAAGCTTCAAAGCATCAGGGATGTTTAAGCTGAGTCTTCAAGGAAAAGTAAGTACAAGCTACATAGACCCAGTGTACCCGCTTGTGGAACTGGGAGGACATTTCAAGCAGAGGGAGAAGGATATGAAAAGGGTTGTAGGTGGAAAATATCCTGATAAGTTCACATTAAGACCAGATTAAGATCTCTGGGGAATCTAAAGAATAATGGAACCATGGTACAAAACCCCTCTCAAATGTATTCTAATATCAGTGTTAAATCTGAAAGTAACTGGGAGGCACATTTCTGATTTGACCTTCAACAACTAGGTTGAATGCTTTGTTTCTTCAAGAGATTTTTGCTTTTGTGAGTACCTAGGAATGTTGAATCTCCTTGTAGGGTCATCCAGGGACCTCAGAGTTACCTATGAATGGAGTGGGCAAGGATTTTGGCCAAGACTGAAATATGAGCAGAAACCAAACTGTGAAGGGTCGTTGTTGGGGGCTTTCTGAGGAGTTGTGCAGGGAAAGTTTGGTGAAAAATTTCAGGCTGGTTGCGTGACATGCAAAGGTAACTCTGGTGGCCTTACAAGGAATGGATTTCAGTGGCAGTTCTCAGTGGGAAGGAGGGGACTTGTTGGGAGATGAAAACAATCTGAGAAGCCTTTTAGCAATGCATAATAACCCTTGGCTTTTAGGGGCACAGTGTTGGGAATGCGTAGGGGGAGCCAATGAGGAGATGGAATGAGAAAAATCCTAAGAAAAATTATTAGGAGGCTGTTGAAATATTATCTCCCTCCCTAGCCTTCTTCTTTCTGCCCGCATTTCTGTCGGCTTAATTTCACCCTGTCATTCATATATATATATACATATATATATATATATATATATATATATATATATATATATGACACACACACATATGATTTTTATTTTTATACATTATTTATACATTTGTATATACATTATATATACTAATGCGAATAGTATATACATATGCACATAGGTATATATAATGTAATACATTGCCAAATGTGTACAAACATTCTAAATGACTCTTTCGCACTTACATCAACCCGTAGTTACCTTCCCGAATCTAAAACCAGAAGCAAATCTTATTTTTATTTATTTATTTATTCGTTTATTTATTTAGAGAGGGAATCTCGCTGTGTCGCCCAGGCTGGAGTGCGGTGGCACAATCTTGGCTCACTGCAAGCTCCACCTCCCGGGTTCACACCATTCTCCTGCCTCAGCCTCCTGAGTAGCTGGGACTACAGGCACCTGCCACCACGCCTGGCCAATTTTTTGTATTTTTAGTAGAGACGGGGTTTCACGGCAAATCTTATTTTTACTTTTATTTTTTGTAGTCCAGAATTACAGCACCATAGAGACGAAATATACAGGTGAGGGCGGGAGCTTCTCCACTCAGTCTGTGCATGTGGGAGGGTGGGCAACTTCCTGCCAGCCTTCTGGTCTCATATGCATTTGGTGAGGATGTTGCAATCTCAGTTAGTTTGGGGCCATGTTTGTACACTAATTCAGATGTGAGCATGTGTGCTCACATACACACAAACTCACACACACACACAAAATTAGAGTGAAATCAGACTTAATGGAGTGTGGCCACCTAAAGACTTCAGAGCTAGCAGAAGCGATCAGCAATCTACTAGATGAGTGATTTGGTGGGGGTGTCGTTACTATTCTTTCATGCCATGGAACAATACATAGTATTGTCATGTCAGGTTTAATGATTCAGCAATTTAATATCCTTGACTTTTTTGTGGAGTTATTATTTAGTTGGGAATATTTTTCAGGACCCAGAAGCATTATGTTTTTGATATGTTTGGAACTTGATCTAAGATGTACTTCAGACACCAGACAGTGTTTTATGTTCCATGACGACTCTGAAATTCATGCAGCTTTTGTTGTCTGAACTTTCATTTGATCTGTGTTAATTTTTTGTATTAATAGCTTGCCTCTTCATTTTCATTATTACTGACAAATATTTACTTAGTATCTACTACATATAAAATATCAGGTAAGTATTCTGTGTATGTTCAACTTGAAAAACTTTCTAATTTGGCAAAACATAGAGACTAATTTAACAAATACCCATGTAGTAGGATTTCAGAATTAACAAATGCCAACATTTAATCATATTTTCTCGAGATAAACAATGTATGTGTGAGTAAAAGAAATAAACATCACTGGCAAAATTCAATTATTTTTACTTCCTAAGTTTTTATACAAAATGGCTAACAATTTAAGTTTTTGAATAGAAGGATTCAATATTTACACTACTTAATCACACTGTTCCTGGTATCTATGCTTGGTACATAGTAGTTGCTCAATAAACATGTGTTGAGATGTTTTGTCCAATTCTTACATAGCCAGGATTGACTCCTATGCCCACTCTTCTATACTTTTTATACATTTTATTTGAGAGAATACATTTACTTGCACGACTTCTAAAAACATCTATAGGCCGGGTGCGGTGGCTCATGCCTGTAATCCCAGCACTTTGGGAGGCTGAGGTGGGCAGATCACGAGGTCAGGAGATGGAGACCATCTGGCTAATACGGTAAAACCCCATCTCTACTAAAAATACAAAAAATTAGCCGGGTGTGGTGGCGGGCGCCTGTAGTCCCAGCTACTCAGGAGGCTGAGGCAGGAGAATGGCATGAACCCAGTAGGCGGAGCTTGCAGTGAGCCGAGATCACGCCACTGCACTCCAGCCTGGGCGACAGCGAGACTCTGTCTCAAAAAAAAAAAAAAAAAAAAAACTATAAACATCTGAAACATCTATAGATATAGCTAGATGACCTTTCAGGCAAGTTAATCTTTCCAGACCTCAGTTTCTACATCTGCAAAATGGAAATAAAAATTACACCCAACTCATAGGTTTATTGCGGGGCTTAGTTGAACTAATGCATGTGCTTACTGTTTAGTAAGTGCTAAGTAAATGTTAGTTAGTGTTACTCCTTTTATTGTTTTTTAACCAACACCTTTCTTCATGGGTTCACAGTCCACTGCAGAAGCAAACAGAAATATTTACAACTTCAAAGTGCTGTGATAGACGTTAGTGCAAAGAAATGTAGATAAGGGAGTGAACAGGGAAGTGAGGAAGGCTTCACAATGGAGAGGTGAACTTTGATTCATTTTCTGGAGAAGAAATCTAGTTTCACTAAGTGAGGAAAGAGGTCGTTGCAGGCAGAGGGAGTAGTATATGCAAAAGATGACTGCACGGAAATGGGGAAATGGGCTTATGGTAATGTCTCTTAGGAGGTGAGAGATGGGTTGAGGGTACAGAGGGTACCATGCAAAAAAAAAAGAATAGTAGACCAAAGAGTGTACAACTCCATGTGTTTGTGCGCATCGGGGCCTGCTTCTTTATTGAAACTTACATTCAAACGTTAAATATTATTACACTATGTAAGAAAAGACGTATGAGTAATGCTCTTCCACCCTCCTCCCCCTCACGTTCCCATTCCTGCAGCACTAGAAACCCACTGATATGTCTTCAAGGGAAAAACCATAAATGTAGTGAGGATGCTATGATATGAGTTGTCGTGATGCCACTAACGTTGATGACCAGGACCATGGAGACATTGGCAAGGAATTTACAGCTTCTCAAGTTCCAATAATCTTATTATAGTCTAGTGTATGCAATACGCCTTCTTACACATCTGTCATCTAGCTGGACCCAGTGGGAAGGTTCATGGTCTTTGGACTCAGAGAGAGCAATGCTACAACCCTGGCTTTGTTTTGCTGATTATTCTCCATGTGGTCCCTGGACCCCTTCTCTCTTTTCTTCTGCCCTGCTGTTGCACCAAGAGGTTGACCTCAGGGACTACATTCCCTGGCTCCTTTATCCTTTGGCTTTGATTGTGTATAGGCAATGAGAGGGTCTAGCAGGATGCAGGATGGCAGTAAGAGGGAGAGGCTGGGATATTTCTTCCTCTTGCTTCCGCCTTGCTTGTCTGTGGTTCTAATGGTGGCTGTGCTCCTCCATGCTCCAGCTCCAGACAGGTGTCCCATCTCCTTTGCTTCTGCCTTGCTCCAGTGACATCCACTTCATTCCCATATCTCCTTGGGCTCCCTTGCTTTTGACAGTTCCAGTGCCTGGCCATTCCCTGTTGGTTGTTTTAGCTCTGCCCACAGATCCATAAGGAGCCCCTATATTAAGTTATTCTCAATTAAATCCTTTCAATATGTCATCTCTTTCCTGCTGAGACCCTTACCAAATCAACTACTTACTACATGACTTTGTCCAAGGGCCATAATCTTTTATGGCCTCAGGTTCTCCACATGCAAAATCAGGATAATAATGTTCTCTACCTCATGAGGTTATTTAAAGGAAACGGTGAGATCATGTGTTTTGATAGAATATATTTTAAAGCCTCTATCATGGTTCTTGACACATAGGAGGTGCTCAGGAAATATTAGGTACTATTGTCATTGCAACAATTAGGAAAACTTCTGCCACTATTTATATGTGATAGAATTGAGGGATATTAGATCTGGAAAGTAGCTGGGCCATTGCCTTGGATGACCTGCTCATTTTATGTTTGAGGAAACTGAGGCCCAGCATGCTTGTCCAAGTTCACACAGTTAATTAGTGGTGGAGCTAAGAATAGTATGAGTCTACATTGAAAGGAGGCCAGCTGTGTTTACATCAATTCTATTTAACTTCTTTAATTAAGCTGTTGATTCCTTCAGTGACGTCACCCACTTGTTTTAGAAATGAGTTACATAAGCGCGTCTCCCTCCACTATTTATTTGCTCCCTCTGAGAAGAGTATCGGGCTGTCCCAAAATAAGCAAAGATTCGAGAGAATACCCCTGTTTCATTGCTTCTGCTCCCTGCTGCTGACTCATTTACTCCTGGGCCTCTGAGCTCGCTCACATCAATCACCCATCCTCAGAAGAACACACTGCGTCCGGCCTCACAGGCCCCGTGCAGCTGGAGCTCTGCAATGCCACCCCTGGGAGGCTTCATTGCAATGCAAGGAAAGGCCACTGTCAGGTCCTCCCCTCTGCACAGAGCATGGTACCCAGCTAATGATCATGTCCAGCTAAAAACCCTTTTGGTTTTTAAAATTCAAGTCAGGCAATCCCAAGAGGAACGGCATCCAAACAGATGTGTCTTTTAACCACACAGTTTTAAAACAACTGGATAAAAAGAACATTTGTTCCATCTTCCTACTACCAGGCATTCAAACTCAGTTTTAAATAGGTATACAAATAGCTGGGCATTTCAGGTTGATGATATCCACTCTCAGGGCAAGTGGCTAATTTCCTTCCTAAGCTCGAATAATAAATGCCTAATCATCTTTTTATTTTTCCTAAACAGTAATGTGCTCTGCATCCAGTCTGTGTCTGTCTGCCGGTGCAGAGCTGACATTACCTGATCCTATTTCACAGAGACCCTGTGTTTGCTAGATGTCCAAATAAGTGGTTGATTCAGGGCAAAAATATTAGTCAAGCCATTTGTTTCACTCAGTTAAAGAATCAGTGCAGGTAAAGTAGGCGAGTCAGTAGCCCAGCGTAGGCAAAGCTGCGTGTCCTCGAATGATCTTTCCAGCCGTCATTCCTGGGAGGGCTGGGCTTTTGGGGCACTCCTAAAGGAACTGCCTTGGGCTCAAGGCAACATTCTCTCTCAGCAGCTTCTCCTTCCCCATTTCCAGTGGTTATCTCAACTACTTCAACAGGCAACCTTAAAGCCAGCCAGAAGCAATTTTAGTTTATCAAGCTTGAATGTGAAAAGGAGCAAGCAAAGACCTGAGCTTTCTCTTGTTTCTTTTCTTATGAGTAACATGTGATCTTTTAAAAATTATTGTAGTAAGAACACCTAACATGAAATCTACCCTCTTAACAAATTTTTAAGTGTACATGAGCCTTTAAAACAAAACAACCTGACTTTTTAATGATCGCCATTCTAACTGGCGTGAGATGGTATGTCATTGTGGTTTTGATTTGCATTTCTCTAATCACCAGTGATGATGAGCTTTTTTTCATATGTTTGTTGGCCGCACAAATGTCTTCTTTTGAGAAGGGTCTGTTCATATCCTTCTCCCAGTTTTTAATGGGGTTGTTTTTTTCTTGTAAATTTGTTTAAGTTCCTTGTAGATTCTGTATATTAGCCCTTTGTCAGATGGATAGATTGCAAAAATTTTCTCCCATTCTGTAGGTTGCCTGTTTACAATGGATGCCAGAGAGGATGTGGAGAAATAGGAACACTTTTACACTGTTGGTGGGAGTGTAAATGAGTTCAACCATTGTGGAAGACAGTATGGTGATTCCTCAAGGATCTAGAACCAGAAATACCATTTGACCCAGCAATCCCATTACTGAGTATATATCCAAGGGATTATAAAGCATTCTACTATACAGACACATGCACACATATGTTTATTGCAGCACTATTCACAATAGCAAAGACTTGGAACCAACCCAAATGCCCACCAATGATAGACTGGATAAAGAAAATGTGGCACATATACACCATGGAATACTAAGCAGCTATAAAAAAGGATGAGTTCATGTCCTTTGCAGGGACATGGATGAAGCTGGAAACCATCATTCTCAGCAAACTAACAAAGGAACGGAAAACCAAACACCGCATGTTCTCACTCATAAATAGGAGTTGAACAAATGAGAACACATGGACACAGGGAGGGGAACATCGCACACCGGGGCCCGTTGGGGGTTAGGGGACTAGAGGAGGGATAGCATGAGGAGAAATACCTAATGTAGATGACGGGTTGATGAGTGCAGCAAACCACCATGGCATGCGTATACCTATGTAACAAAGCAGCACGTTCTGCACGTGTATCCCGAAACTTAAAGTATAATTAAAAAAAAAAACCCTCCCTCCCCCACAAAAATGTGGGGCACTTATAGCATCGAAAAGGCAGAGATAAAGAAAAAGGAAAAAGCTAAAAAGTAATTTAAAAGATTGAGAAAACCAGTGTGAACATTTCAAACGTAGAGGAAGGAAACTGCTATGCATGGCACACCTACTGTGTGTCATGCATTTCTGCATGCACTAACTTATTTAATTTTTACATTAAAGAAGTGAGGTCTGTGATACCAGAGTGCCTGTGTGCATTGGTGTAAGTTGTTCACTGCACAAGGGGCACAGTGAGGACAGAGGGGCATTGGAACCCAGCCTGTGCTCTGCCCAACATGCTGCAAACTGGCCTGGAGGAAGGGGCATCGTTTTCTAATTTGCACAAAGATATTATCTTAGTCTGGGTTCCCCCAAAGCAAGTGTGAGGCAAGAATTTGGATGCAGGCAGTTTTTTGAGAGGTAATTCTGGGGAGAACAGTGGGGGAAGTAAGGGGAGAAAGGGAAGGAAGGAAGGCCACATGAATGGATGAGTGGTTACCCTTATGAGCAACTGAGGCTTAATCCCACCATGGACCCTCTAAGACAGTGGTCATCAGCTTTTTTGGCATCAGGGACCAGTTTCATGGAAGACAGTTTTTCCACGGACTGGGGTGGTGGGGGATGGTTTGGAGGTGATTCAAGTGCATTATGTTTATTGTACACGTTATTTATATTATGATTACATTGTAATATATAATGAAATAATTATACAACTCACCATAATGTAGAATCAGTGGGAGCCCTGAGCTTGTTTTCCTGCAGCTAGACCATCTCATCTGGGGGTGATGGGAGACAGTGACAGATCATCAGGGATTAGATTCTCATAAGGAGCACACAGTCTAGATCCCTCCTATGAGCACTTCACAGTAGGGTTTGCACTCCTATGAGAGTCTAATGCCCTGGCTGATCTGACAGGAGGCAGAACTTAGGCAGTAATGGGATCGATGGGGAATGGCTTAAATACAGATGCAGCTTCACTCACTCACCTTCTACTGTGCAGCCTGGTTCCTAACAGACCATAGACTGGTATCAGTCTGTGGCCCAGGGGTTGGGGAGCCCAGTTCTAAGAGACTGTGTGGAACATGCTCAGAGCTGTCCCAGTGAGGGGCAAAGAACTTGCGGTATTCCTGCCATGTTAATTTCCATACCTCAGAAGTTACGTGTTGCTCCTAGGGCACCAATGCCTTGGCACATGGGTCAAGCACAGTCCTGTGGCCAGAGAGCAACCTCAGGCAGAGAGACACAGGAGACCATCTGTGTGTTGAGAACTACTGCAGATGACCTCAGGTGACCCAAAAGGGTATGATGGGCCCTGCTAGCTGGAATACTCAGAGATGTGGGTAGATAACCCACATACGGACATGTGTTTGTTCACTGGACATTCGTTTTTCAACTGTTCCTTTTATAGTACAATGATTGTAAAAATGTCAGCTGTCTTGCCTTTGAAAGGAGAGTTAAATAGCAAAAGAATAATCCAGAAGGCTGGGTGTCCAACCGCATTCCAGGCCCAGAATCATTATTTTGTGTCGTTTACATAAATTCTCAGTTATGAATGATTCCATTTTAGGACATGAATAGGCTGAACTTCTACTGCATATACAAGTTTTTCCAGCCTTTTCCATCTCCCTGAATTAGTTCATTGTGAAATAGGTTGCCTGATGGCTGAAAAAGACAAAAAACTTCAAGAGTTTTGGCACTCCTCAAGTCTTCCATGCCGCCTCTGTTTGTTGTATAGTATTAGTGAATCGCAATGTGGCACACACCGATCATCCTAAAAATATGTCCAGAAAAGTTGCATAGATTGTGTGTGGCCCTGTGTGTGTGTGTGTGTGTGTGTGTGTGTGTGCATATGTATGTGTATGTTTATACATCTAGCTTCTTCCCCCATTCTCCCACCAACACTGTTTGGGTAGCCAGCCCCCCATCCTCTCTAAAGCCCCCATGCCCTGCAGTAAACACTGAGGCCAGGGCTGTGTGGCAGGACTCCCAGCCAAGCAATAGTAACTCCTGCTGCTGCCTTGAGTAACCAGGAATTCTCCATGTCTCATGAGTCCTGCTCATTGGGCTGACAAATGGTGACTGAGAAATACTCGCCTTTTGTGGTGTCCTTTGTTGTTTCATGTGTAATATGCCCTAAGCATTTTATGTCCAAAGAGAGAAAAGAAGAGAAGAGGGAAATTAATTCCAATTTCAGCAAGGTGTGAGGCAAAGAGTATCATCTGGGGGAGAATGAAGAACTATGACTATTCAAGTGGCAATGTCTTATGGTTAATTAAGTCTGGTGTTCCGTTTTAGAGGTGAAAACTGAGACCAAGGGAACTGAAGTGGCTTGGTCAAAGCCACGTGGACTCTTGGGCTCTGGACCCTGTCTCCTGGCTCTCTCTTTTGCAACAGGACGCTTGTGTTCCCTCTCTGGTCTTGCCAGCAGACACTCCCTCTGCTAGCCTAGAGAAGTTATTTCACATGCTGGTCGTTCTCCATGTGTCCCCCCAGATGCATCCTCTGCCCTTCTTTGTCCTGCTCTGTGCCCAGGAGGCTGACCCTTGGGACCCACTTCCTGTGCCTCCTAGCTTCCGTGATGTGAGAGAGAAGTTGGAGTGTTTGTCTCCACATTCCTTCGGGTCAGTTCTGGTGTTGACAGTGATCACACCTTCGCTAATGGCCATGACCCCAGTCAGTGGCCTCCCTCCCGTGGCCGCAGCTCTTTCTGGGTTCTGCTGGCATTGACCCTTCCCCTCTGCTCTAAGCCTGGGGATGGTACAGGCTCCCGCTGTTGCTAGCCCCTGGTGGCTTAGCCCCCTGTTGCTTCGCTTCATCCTGTCCACACCTCTGCATGCAGTCACTTCTCTAGAGTCTTTTCCGTTCAGCATCTGAGTGGACTGGGAACTTCCTGCCAGGCCAGAAGGATATGCTGAAGGGTTTCTTCCTTTGACAAATGGGGATAACAACAGTCTACTCGTGGTTTTAGTGAGGATCAAATAGGGTCATGTGTGCAAATGTGCTGTGTCTGTCTGGCCCAGATGAAGGTTTGTCTTCACCAGGGATCATATAAGGATTTTCGGCCAATCATAGCTTATGCCTTAACTAGTTTCTACGTTGGCATATTGCAGGGGCACCCCAACCACCCCTCGCTATTTCTCAGGTCAGCCAAATTGATACCATGTAGCAGAGCCTTGCAGTTTTCACTTTGAAGGCTGTGAAATTGTGGACTCATCCCTTGATCTGGAAGCAAAACTGGGAGACGTCACACATTCCAGCTTCATACCTCAGGCAGCTGCCAGCATTGATCTGCGAGGAGGGCCCTGCCTCTTCTGTCTCCACCTGTTACTTGAAAGCCAGAGAAGAGTGACTCATCAGCGGCCTAATGCAGCAAAGAAGACAAATAAGTCTCAGCAGGTAGGGTGTCCCCAACCATGCTCCACTCAGAGTTCTGAGCAGCAGGGTCAGCCTAGGGAAAAAGGCAAGTGGGAAAAGTCTACTCCAAGGGCCTCGTGCCCCACCCCGCTCTGCCAGTCTCTGCACTCCGACATGTAGCTCCCCCCATCCGCACTCTCACCTGCCCCATCTCCAGAATACTAATCCTCAATCCTCTAAGGACTTAACCAAAGAACATCCCACATCCTTTTAATGACAGCCTATTAAACTTGGTAAAATTCTGATAACATGTGTGAGTGCCTAAAACATGCTGGTACTATCTCAGATGCAGGAAAGACAAAAATGATCGAGACATGTTGTCATTTCATCTCTGCCAACAAATACCATTGTGATTATCTGTGAAATTAACTGATTACTTAAAATAAGCATTCCAAACAACCTGCTGATCAGAGGGGGCCCTGGTAGTTGGCTCTAGCTGTGCTTTGTTAGTGGTTGAGAGTATGGAATTTGGAGCCAGTCTTCTCTGCATTTAAACTTCAGCTCTACCAGGTACATGCTCCATGACAGGAAGGAAGTAACAACTGCTCTGTCTGGAGAGTTGTGCTGGAGCCAACTCAAAAAAGCTGATTTTGCACATCTCTCCCAACTCTGTGTTCACCAGCATCACATTGGTAGTTTAAAATCTATGACGGGCCGGGCACGGTGGCTCATGCCTGGAATTCTAGCACTCTGGGAAGCCAAGGCAGGCAGATCACTTGAGGTCAGGAGTTCCAGACCAACTTGACCAACATGGCAAAACCCTGTCTCTACGAAAAATACAAAAAGGAAAAATTAGTGGGCATGGTGGCAGGCACCTGTAGTCCCAACTACACAGAAGGCTGAGGCAGGAGAATTGCTTGAACCCAGGAGGCGGAGGTTGCAGTGAGCCGAGACCGCACCACTGGGCTCCATCAGGAAGACAGAATAAGTGAGACTCCGTCTCAAAAACAAAACAAAACGAAAAAATTTCTATGATGTAGTGAAGATTTACCCCCTTCAGAAACTGGCTGGCAAATGTTACACATTGGATGGGTTTCTTTCCTTTTCTTTTTTCTTTTCTTTTTCTTTCTTTCTTTCTTTCTTTCTCTCTCTCTTTCTTTCTTTCTTTCTTTCTTTCTTTCTTTCTTTCTTTCTTTCTTTCTCTCCCTCCCTTCCTTCCTTCCCTCACTCCCTCCCTCCTTCCTTCCTTCCTCTTTCTTTCTTTCTCTTTCTTTCTCTCTCTCTCTTTCTTTTTTCTTTTCTTTTCTTTCCATCTTCCTTCCTCTCTCCCCTCTCTCTCTCTTTCTCTTTCTCTCTCTCTCTTTCTTTCTTTTTGGCCTGTGGAGTGAGCTGTGAGATTTACCAGCACATCACTGACTTTTTACTTCATTCCTCATCTCTAGAATGGCAAATAATAACAGTACCTGCTTCATTGGATTGCTGTGAGAATTAAATGATACAGAAGATGTTCATGTCACAATGTGTTTGGTAAATATATATAATCTGCTCTTTTAATTATTTTAATAGTCAATGGAGTATCTGGGTTTCTTTTGGTTAATGATGCAGCAATCAGCTGTCCTAGAAATTGCAGACTGTGCTGACCTGGAGGGAGGAAGACCCTTCCAAACCCCTATCCAGACTCCTATAAGACTCAGATTTTTAAAACAAAGCAAAACACAAAAGCAACTCTTTGCTTGCGGATGACTCAACTTCCTTTTTGGTAGGCTCAACTCTGCTTCCCAGGAATCAGCAGTGATTAGTGATAGAAAGAGTAGCCCTCATGACCCCAGGTGACCATCAGGACGCTAGGGCAGGAAGGAGCCTGTTGATTGAGTGCTGACCTGCAAAATTACCAGCACAGGTGTCCAACAATTTCATTCTTGAGAAGCCAGAGTTGAGTTTCTGGGGTTGCTTTGGAGGGTTCAGGACATGCTGCAGGGTAATAGGAAGGACATGGGGTGAGAAAAAGGTTCCTGCCAAGTTGCTGAAAGACACATGATAGCTCAACAGGGAACCAAGAGTCAGGTTTAATATTGTTTCTGCACCACACTTAATAATTGAGGTCAATGGTTTATCAAGTCCTCACTGAGGGCCACAGAGAGGACAGGCTTCTAAGTGCAGAGAGGCAGCAGTAAAGGCTGAGGCTGCGGGAAACATAATCAGAGTTTAAAACACTAACACTTACCTGCTGGTATGGTTGAGAGGCATTCCAATAACCCTTGGCCCCTGACTTTTCACTGTGCCAAAATCTAAACTATTACACTAGGTCTTGAATAACTTTTGAAAATGTGTGCTTTCCCACCTAGTTAAGGCAAAGTTGCCTCAAAGACAAATATCACATTAGCACAGATGCTCTTATAAGAGCAATTACCATCAATGGTCACTGCCTGGAAGTTGGACCTGGAAATGACATGCTGGATGGTCATAGTCTTGTTAGATGAGGTGTGCGTGTGATGATAAGTGGGAAACAGCTTGATTTAAGGGACACTTTAGTCCATGGCCAGCACAGTAATGATCTTGGGAAGCCTGAAGCTATGTCTTCTGTTGAGCAATAAGGTACAGGGCGCAGAAGGGGCAAAATAAGTCAGGGAGTCCAGTTAACATGTGAGATGGAAACTTAAGGATAGGGACAGAGCACGCACAAAGCCCAGGGACACAGCTTTTTGCTGGACATTTTGCCTGTACTAACTGGTAAATTAGACTGCACAACAGGAAAGAAGCTTGTGATAGCAAAAGGGGTCGAAAACGGGAAGGACACTCAGAGGGCAGGAACTATGACGGGGCTCTGCGGCCTTGTGGGCAGCAGGGAGAGTGTATTTTTGGCCTGCGGGTCTCGTGAGCTGGAAGAAATCAGGAAAGGGAAGCTGAGCATTTAATCCTACATAGATCACAGGCTAATCGTGCCCATTTAGTGTTTGAAAGTGAGAAGTTGTCAAGGCTTTGTGACAGCCTTGAAACCGCAGGCATTAGAGGATAGAAATCCTGAGCCCAGAGGGAGGCAGGCACTCCCATCTGCCCAATTTGGTCTTCAACAGCTTCCAACTCTTCAATATTCCCAAGCAGAATCAGATTAAGCAGAAGTGCTCATAATAGTTCTCCAATTTAGCCTGTATCTTCTCTCTCTTTCTTTTGTCCTGGGGGCCATGTGCCATTAGGAGCAGAGGTTGTGAATGTTCCAGAAATCCCTTTGGGATGCAGGCCTTCCTCCCATGCAGAAAATGCCTACTGAACACACTAAATGCCAGGCACATGCCTTGTACTGGGGTGCAATGGTGAGGGGTGACACCCAGAGGGAGTGTCCCCCTCTTCTGTATTACTTTTTGCCTGACCTTTTCAGTAGACTTCAGAGTTGGTCATCATGACTTCCTGAACTCATCTCCTTCCATCTTTCTCTCCTGAGCTCTGAGAAGCAAAGTCAATTCAAATCCAAAGTGCTGGGCATAGGAGTTTGTTTCGTAAGAATTCAAACTTTATTGTTTTACCTCTAAATCTGGCCTGCTTCTATAGTGCTTGAGACTTAGCAATCTCTCACTACTCTTAGCTGTTTTTGTTGTTGTGGCTGTCAATATTATTTAAAACTGATAAAAACTGCACAGGGAAGTTGACACAGTCAGATATTAAGTTGATATGCCTATCATTGAATGTCTGGAGCAAGGTAACCTCACCTCAGACTTGATTCCTAACAAACTTCAGTGAATATTCAATTTTTGTTTTATCACAAATGTATTATTACACCTGCCTATATGGGAAGGTGAAGATGGGCCAGTTGTTTGCTTTGAAAGGAGGAAAGAGTGAGAATGTACAACTGAATGAAAAAAAATATTTTGGCCACAGACACTTTTTCTCTTGGCTTTACAATAATAAAATATGTAGTGGGATTTTTATTTTGCTTTAGAATTTTTAGTTGTTTTTTCCTTTTTGAAGTGCTCCTTCAGAGGAAACAAATCTTTCTATTGACATTGAAAATGAGTCATAAGAGAAGTGTTGCTACTTTCCTTTTGAGGGATTTTTTTTATTTAGTTTTGTTTCCATTAAGTTTTAGCAACAGGAAAATATGGACTTTCAGCATCCACAGGGATATGATCAAATGGAAACATATGCTCCCTGTTTGTCCATTATTACAAACCATGAGAAAACTCACAAATCACTCATAGACTTTCTAGAAAGGTTGATTTGACAAAATATTTGACAAAATAGCCTACTGCTTCCTTGATATTTCTGAAACCAAATGAGTATTTGTGTTTTGAAAAAGCAAAGTTGATTAAAAAAAAAAAAGCAGCTGATGAAAGGCCCAAAATGCATATGGGTCAACTATGTTTATTGCAGAAACACTAGAGAGTGGATGAGAGATGGGTCAGTGGGCACAGAAGCCCACCTGCAACTGCACTCACACCTTGGCCTACATTGCCAAAGAGACCAATATATCAGCAATTGATTGGAAATACCACAAAGATGAATCACAGATCAGGAAAGCAAATGCCAATCAATGATTGAGCCTAGGCAATAATATATGAGCTAAAGGCATTTATCAAACCTGTGGAAAATTAGAAGACTTGCCTAACATGGCTGAGAATGCTACATATGAACCAACTTTTAGAATAATTCAGTCTTTTTTTTCAGTCCCCTAGAATAAAAAGGGCATATCTAAACTCTTGAATTTATTTTGATTAAATCAAGAATTCCCTCCTGTATCCTCAGGATCTGGTATTGAGTAGGGACACGATAAAACACTTGTCAACTGGAAGGACTCTATCAGCAGCACCTGGGCTCCATTTGATTTTTTAACCTGCTTAGTATTTCCAACCGTAATGACCAAAATGTCTGCCTTCAGTTACAGTATTTGTACCCTGAGGAAATGAAATAATTTAGCCCCCTGGCCCTCCACCCCACTCCGTTTTCTCAGCTGCAAACAAAGGGATTGGACTTTATCTGGTTGCTTTCAGTTCCGTAAAAGAGAGGTCAAATCCACTTTATGTTGTCAAGGATTCTTTTTCTGTTTTGTGAGATACCTGGTTTTTAGATTCCTCTCCCTTTTTAATTTTTCTCCAGTTCTTCCTGCTTTCTGCATCCTCTTCCTGACTTTCCATTGTTTTCTCTTTAACAATCACACACTAGAAAATATGTAGAAGTGAGTGAAAAATACATCTCATGCTCTGTTTAGTGTATCCTCAAAAAGACTTCATGGTAAAAGGGTGGTTAGGATGCTGTGTTCTCTGTGGGTTTCTACTTTTATTGTATTATAATTTATATTTTCATGCTTACTACAACTCTGGCTGTGATTTATTTTTCTATCCCAGATATGGTGAAAAATAATACTAATATGTGTGTTTTTTGTTTTTAGCTGGGTATTAGCAAAAATCATTCCATTTTCCCTGAGACATCTTGCTCCAACCACCTTGCAGTGCAGCTATTTTGATTACTTCATGTCACTATTAATCATGTGCTTAAAGGAAATAGATAAACTTTGAAACAGAATTCAGCTCAGCAAAGGTTTATTCATTATCTCCTGGGTGCCTGGCTCTGGTGCTAGGTGTTTAGAGGGAACAAAGGTGAGTATATCAGGGCCTATGGTGGAGACAGCAGGAGAAGCTGAGTGAGAATTTACATACTCTCATGTGTGACTTATGTATCAAAAGAAAGGCCCAAAGTGCTTGGAGTATTAAGGCAAAGGAGAAATGATGTATGTGTATGGAAGTGATTTGTTTGGGTGAAGTCCTTGGGGTCTGTGAGAGCGAAGCCTTTCCATATCCTGGAGTGCTTGGGTGTGGAATTCAAATCTTCCTCAGTTGGCAAAGGGGTACCAAATGGAAGGCTTTTACCCAGGAAACCATGATGCCACTGGTGCTTTGGGAAGATGAATCTGGCAGGAGTATGCGGGGTAGTCCAGGGCCGGGGGAGGGAGGCCTGGAAAGAGCCTCTCCGTGTCCTGATCCTGGTTGCACTGCTTCTTTGCCAATCCCTACTCCATGTGGTTGCAGCAGCTCACAGCTATAAAAATGTGTTGACCCAAGAGGTTTAATATTAACCAAAGTTATAGTCAAAGTCAATTTGGAGGATTCAAGAAAAAATCTGATGCTAATAGAGAAATAGAAGTCAATATTTGTAATGTGAGTCACAGGCTCAAAATAGAAAAGTAAAACACATCACTGCTACAGTTCCCAGAGGGCTGTGGGTTACACAGCGCAGCAGATCTGTGAACCAGGCCTCACCACCCTCTAGGTCTATTTTAAAATTTCCTCTGGCCCCTTCCTCTAATTCCTAAATTCCAGAGCATGATATTCTAGTGGAACTCACCAGATATCCAGCCCTGGTGAAGTCATAGCTTGTTTTGAGTGGGTCAATGGAAAAAAAAGATTTTTTTCCCTAGTTGTGTATAACCTTCCTCTCTAGTGACGTGGCATGGAACGAACTTATCATGATTTTATTTTGTAGTCCATACTTCATTCTACAGTGGCTATCACTGTTTAAAACTTCATCTCTTATGTGTTGCCTATTTTGAAGAAGGCAGAGGAGAAGAGAGGAAAGCAGAAATATTCAGAATGACATATATTTTTTGTTTTATCACAAAATTTATATATTAATAGCAGAGAGGAGGGTGTTGTCCACTGGAGGGGCTATGACATGTTGAGGAGCTTCTAGAATTTTCTTTAACAGGATGGCTTTTGTGAGCGTTCATGGCGTAGCTTTATCCTGACTCAGATGTTAATCCTGCACAGAGGCTTGAATGTGTTTTCCTGAGTGTGATCAGAAAATGAAAAGATTCATGAAGATAAAGGAAAAAAAAGAGCAAACCATAGCATGTATACCCAATGATCAGCAGTTACTTTCTTAACAGTGCTTCACCTAGTTTATGTTGTGGGATGTACAACACACAAGGCTAAAATTAGCTGCTCTTCACCCAATGTGTTGGAATGCTATAGGGCCAGATAGTATCTTATCACAAGTGACCACAGGAAGGACAATGCATTCCAAACTGAGTCTTCAAGGGCCAAGGCGGGTTTGATAGAGTCTGAGATTTATAACCCAGGCTGCTGTACATGAATCCTCTGGAGGGCCTGAGAAACGTGTGATACTTAGTTCTCCCTTGATTTCTTTTTATTGCTTTGCAAGAAGCCCAGCTTATAAAGTTCAGTTTGAACACTATCTGCTTCAAAGAGGGGCCTGGTGATGAGACCAGAGATGATCAGATAAGAAGGAAAAAGGAAGTGGTGAGGATGGGTGCAGCCAGAACAGAGTGGACTGGCAGCTGATGAACCAACCTGGGCAAGGAAGTAGCTTGAAGGCTGTGTCTCGGGGTTGGCCATTTTTCCTCCTTTCTCATCCGGACCTTGTCAAGATCCTGTGGTTTATCATAAGTTACCAATGCCCAACCAGTATCTGCTTCCTCATCAGCACGATGGTCATAGCCCCATCTCCCTCGCAGCATGTTTTCAGAAGTAATTAATGCTTGTGAGATGTTTTGAGATCACTGATAAAAGACATTCTACCTGCCCAGGGTGTTATTACATTATCTTATTTTCCTCTTCATAGTCAGGATCAAACCCACGATAACTTAGAAATGAGACAAATTAGTAAAACGTGGTATGTGAAGGCTGCCTTAACAATTGGATATGTATTGAACTGGGCATTGTACTTGAATTGTATACACAAAATGTGGTGCTGGGCTACATCTTAAGAAATCTTAATTACTTTCAGATTCTGTCAGGTTACATTTCATGACTCTACTTAGATCTCCTTAGAAATGGTAAATCATTAAGAGCAAGGCATCCACTGACGTTGCCCATCAAAATGGACTTAGTACCTGGCCCCAGAAATGCCCAAACTACACATGACCTTTTGCGCATTTATTTCTGTCTCCTTAGAGGACTGTGTATCTCTTTGAAGAATAGGAGAATAGACAGGATATATAGCAACTGGTAATTTCAGTTTATGATGCTCATGTGAAAATTGGATTGTCACCAAAACCCTTCAGGGTACGATCCTCCTCTTACAAAACTCAGCACTGTACTTCATGTGAGGCATAGATTAAGAAAGCTTTTTCCTTCTCCAAGGAAGGGGCACTGCCTTGAAAGCTTACGTGGTTATTAAGAGTACTTCCATCAGATCTTTCGAAAGAAAGGTGGAGATGACCAAAGGGCAGAAGGTCACCTACGTAATAAGATCCACATGAGACAATAATTAAAATGGAATGCTTAAGGAGGATGCACGTGTCCTGACCATATAATTCTCGATAAAATTACTCTAAATTGATCTCCATTTAAATGAGATTTTCCAAAAGGCCACCTCCCATTTCATCTAAAATTCTTTATAAGAAATTCACGGATGAAACTCAGGGGATAGGAAATGTCCTGAAATGAATGCGAAATGTTATCCACTTGTGCATTTTTCTGGGAAAATAGTTTATCCCCCTTTCCTTATATTTCTAACAAACATGGTCCATGACGCTTAAGAACCACAGTGCCATGTGAAATAGTATAGATTAAGCGTGTGAAATTGATACGCAGTGTAGGTTTGTTTCCAAATGCAGATTAGGCATTTTATTTTCAGACAATATTTAGTTGTGTTTTCCTTGATGCCATGCTGATTTTTATTTTCCTGTAATCCTCATCCAATCACAATGTTCCACCAAAGCCTGAAGGTGCATATAAAATATGTGATGTGACCTTTTACCCATTTGGAGATATAGAAAAGCATCCTAGGAGGTGTGTCAATTACAGCCCTTCTCAATAGAGAACAAAGATCATCTCTTGGAATATGGCCTAAGGTTATGGGGAGGGGGACGGGGACAAAGGATCAGTGTCAAGGTGGGGCTGAACCCATGCATTCTAATCAGTTGCCATTTCCCATTCTCCATCCCATGCAACATGCAATGCTGGCATTTTAACCAAGAGATAGATGTTAGGGAAAGGACAGGTAGTGCAGGCTGACACCATAGATCTTGGAACAGGGCAGGGACATACAGCTCAGTGTTTAAGGGCACTTAAACTCTGAGTTGGGAGAGTAAGTTTGGGTAAGACCCAATGAGCCATGTCCATAAGAATGTTTGACCTAGACTGAAGATCAGGCTGGAGATAAGGAGAGGGAGTAGAAATTACTCCCCAGCACAGTTCTCTTAGGAAGTGGCCTGGATGTCTTTGAAAGGCATAAGCTTTAAGCTCCCCTTCCATCACATGAATGGTGACTGGTGTCATGAGTGTGTATACCAGGGAATGTCCCAGGCCACGTCTTGAGTGAGCAAGGGTTAGCTAAGCCATATCACGTAGTTCGTCTGGTGAGGAGAGAAACTGAGATTGAGAAAAGCAAGAATTCAAAGGTTACATTGCATATCAGCATGGCTGCAGAGAACAGCAGCTATCAGTGGTCCGAACTACAGGGTCTGTGGTAGATTATCTACAGAGATAACAGGCCACAACTTCTCTTAAGTCTGCATATTCGTGCCGCTTCTCCCATCAACAGGGGGAGTCTATTTCCGTACCTCTTGAATCTGGGTTGATCTTGAGCCTTACACTAAGCCAGCTTTTGAATGATGCAGAAGGGATGTTCTGGGATTTCCACACTCAGGCCTTAAGAGATCTGGTAGCTTCTACTTTAACTCTTACTATTCTGAGACACCACATGAAAAAGCCCAGGCTATTCAGCTGGAGAGAGAGGCTAGGTGGAGAGGAAGGCCCCGGAGCATAAGAGACCACATGGAGATCTCTCAAGGAGAGGCCACAAGGAGAACCAAGGTACTCCAGCAGCCAGCCAGCACCAGGGCCATATTAGATCCTCCAGCTCAGCCCAGCCCAGCCCAGCCCAGCCCAGCTCAGCCGACAGCTGAGTGCAGCTGCATTAGTCCAGCCAATCCCATGTGAAGTAGAGACAAGCTGTTCCACTCAGCCCTGCCCAAATTCCTGACCCAGAGGATCATGAGCAATGAAATGATTGTTGTTTTAAGCCACTGTGTTCTGAGGTGATTTGGCACACAAAGCCATAGATAACTGGAACAATGTCTGAATGGTCCTGGGGAACTCAGGCAGAATTCAAGATTGTAACCTCTTGGATATGCTAAGTGAGGTTTGGAAGAGGGAAGTTTAGACAGAAAAGTGCCAGCCTTGTGGTCTTTCTGGTTTAAAATGAAACCCCAGAATCTCCCCAAAGTACAGCTTTTTGGGGAGAAGACTGGCAAAAATAAGAGTGTAAAGGCTTTTGTACGGACTGGATATGCATATGGGAGACAACCCATTCATCTTCCCTCTTGCTGGTGAGGAGACTTCTAATGGTCTCTGTCTTGGTCAGAACTGGTGTAGGTAGCCCTGCAGGCTGGATGCTGGCATGGCAAGCGGTGTTATTTCAAGCAGCTAGTGCTGTTCATACAACCAGCTCATGTGCCCTCTGCCCAGCAGAAGACAGAGGAGAAGCCCAGCCCACCAACCAGACACTAAGGGAGGTTTTGTGCCAGACACTTGGCAGTCACCTTAAAGAGACAAAAAGATAAATAAGACATAGTTTCTATTTGTGAAAAGTACACGATCTTGGGTTTCACTTTTTTTATATGTCTTCCTTTCAGAGTTGCCCTTGGTGTCAAATTGCATCAAATCTCACCTAGCCAAAGCATGGCAGGGATTCAGAAATCTCTTGGGAGAGCTGTCCTAGGCCCTGCTGGCGTCTGGGACAAGAATGCAAGCCTGAGTGCATATGCTACAGCTCTGTCTGCTGGCATGAGAGTGTACAGGTCTTCGAGGTTTTGCAGGTAATTCCGATACCTACACATTTTATTTATTTATTTATGAGTCAGAGTCTCACTCTGTCACCCAGGCTGGAGTGCAGTGACTGGGTCTCAGCTCACTGCAACCTCCGCCTCCTGGGTTCAAGTGATTCTCATGCCTCAGCCTCCCATGTAGCTAGGATTACAGGCATGTGCCACACACCCAGCTAATTTTTGTAATTTTAGTAGAGACGGGGTTTCACTATGTTGGCCAGGCTGGTCTCAAACTCCTGACCTCAGATGATCCATCTGCCTTGGACTACACATTTTAAAATAAGCAGATGATTTATCCTCAGTGACTCAATGAATAAGTAAATACTTAAATATTCAGCAAGAATTTACAGAATCTCTATTTTATATGAGCCCCAAGCTGAACCAATTGCGGAAGGATAGAAAAGTCTTCTTGACAAGTTTTCCTGGGCACTGTGGTGTTTCTTAATTTGCTGCTGTTGTTTCTGCTATTTCTAATTGGTTTTGTTATCTCCATTCTTTGTGTTGTATTTCCCTGAGGTGTGGAGAAGTTAAGGCCAGAGTTAACGTTTATAGCATTAATTCAAACCCCAGAAGACAAGAGATTGATAAGAGAAGAAAGGAAAGGTAGAAAAAAGATTATCTACAAGCCAGTCCCTCCTGCTACTCTTTAACTGAAACCATGAAGAATGAACCCAAGCTTAATACATTTGTATGCCCTGTGTTGTGTATTTGTGTGCATGATGTTGTGGGTTATTGTATGCATCACTGTTCCTTTGAGAACTTAGTGGAATTCCATTAGGTTCCAATTTATCCCATCAAACAATGTCATAAATCAGGAACAATTTACCTTCCTGATCTAACTGGGAAGGACTTTACTCAGATTAAAAAGAGTTAAAGTTCCAAGGGAATCACTAACTCTCCTTTGTTGGGAAAAGTGCTCCTAATTTGACGTTTCCTCACATTCCAGCCATACCTCATGGTGGAGGAACTAGGAGATTTCCGGGTCCATGGTGTATGATTTAATGATTTGTGAAAGGCAAGAATGTTAACTTAGTTGATTACTCAAAACTGACTGATAAGGTATCAGACAGGTTAATTTGCTACTTTTCTAACCTCTCCCAGAGAACTTGAACCAAAGCCTCCTTCTCCCTAGGTCATCTTTATTGCCCTCCGCATGGAAGGCTAAGAATTTTTGAAGGAAACAAGCATTTTATTCCTGTGCTTTCATTTGCTCCATCATTTTATTCCAAAGAGACAGCCTTTATTTGTGATAACCTCATTATTTCCTCAACAACCAGTGGTGATGTCACAGTTGAAATATTTTGATCTCAGATGGAAAAAGAACCCTGGCAGATAGGGCCTGTTTACACTGAGAAACAGAGCTTAGTGCTGAGGGTAAAGAGCAAGGCATTCTCCTTTTAATTCAAACACTAACAGTTATCAGAGTGTTATCTGGGAGACAAGCTCCTGGGGATTCTGTGATCTAAAAGAGTGGCTTTTGACTCGTACCTTGTTCCTTACAGCCATTGCCTCCATGGAATCCTACAACCCCATTTCTAGAAGGGACCCAAAGAGCATCAGTCTTTTCCTTTGCCTGCAGAGGTTTAGGAGATCTCTGTTTACCTTGGTCTGGGAAGCTTGTTTTATATGTATTCTTGAGAAGGTGCTTATTCTCTGAAATGAGCCAATAAAGAAATTGTTGTTTTATATGCATTTATTACAGGAAATAAGGCTAAAGTCAAAAGTTTTAAAAGTGAATTATAGGCCGGGCACAGTAGCTCATGCCTGTAGTCCCAGCACTTTGGGAGGCCAAGGCGGGTGAATCACCTGAGGTCAGGAGTTTGACACCAACCTGGCCAACACGGTAAAACCCTGTCTCTACTAAAAATACAAAAAGTTAGCCAGGCATGGTTGTGGGAGCCTGTAATCCCAGCTACTTGGGAGGCTGAGGCAGGAGAATCGCTTGAACCTGGCAGGCAGAGGTTGCAGTGAGCCGAGATCGCACCACTGCACTCCAGCCTGGGCAATAAGAGAGAAACTCTGTCTCAAAAAAAAAAAAAAAAAAAAAGTGAATGATAAATTGAAATGGTCTCAATTGCATCCTTGAGTACTTGGCATTTAACAAACCAAAGGATATTTTTTAATGATAAAATAACCCTGTGAGAGGACATAAAAATTCCACGATATGATTCTATCATGTATTAGAGACTTAAAAAAAACACTACTAACAATAACATATAAGATTACATTTACAGAATTGTATACAGAAGATATACTAATAATATAGACCCCCAATATATGTCTAAACAATTCAAGATGATCTAAACTTCTTTTCTGTTCAGATTTTATTATTTTAAGAAACACATGCATATGCATGTTTAGACTGTTAGTTATGCATATATTTTTTGAATTTAATTGGGTGAGATATTTGTGACAAGTGAATGCAGGCTTCAAATGTGGGTTGAGTGGGAAATAAAATTCAGATTTAAGGATGATCATCTAAAGCTATTATGTCATTAACATTATAGCAGGCACAGCAATACGTTAACATCATAGACCTGGGAAAGCTGGACAGAGTTGGGAGATTGTGATGGTCCTAAAAAAGGCCCTGATAATCATTTAGCATGAAATTATATAGCCTTCAGTAAAAACTTTATTATAATTCTGTGCATTAAACAAATATCCAATTAACTGACAATAAGAAAAATGAGAATCGTCAGGTAAACCCTTGATCAAATCTTTTTCACCTGATTTTCTACTAAATCCAGAGTCTCAAAGCAGTCTATGTAGAGAGCACCCTCTGTGAATGTATGGATAAAATGCATCCTCCCCTGGTCGCCAGGTAAAGGAGCTACTAATTCTCCTTGCCTCAGGGTCACACATGCTAGGCCTCAAATCCCCTTGGCTTTCTAATCAGCCTTGGTTCTGGATTTTCATTCGTTCCTTGTTGAAGGTGAACATGCAGAATTTATTCTACACAATGTCGCTAGTGACAAACGAAGAAAAGAAAGGGCCAGCTAGAACTTAACAGTTCCAACTATCTCAACCTTCATTCTACTGAAAACCACAGAATGCCTCACTTCTGTAGAGTCCTCTTTATCTAAGGCAAACAGTGCTAAGTAGCACTTCATTACTTAACGATTATTAAGAAATGAATTCTCTCAACCCTTAGGCTTCTTTGAAATAACTATTATGTGTCGTAGACTCAATGGACAAATATAGAACCAAATGCCACCCTTTTAACAGTGCTCTGAGACTGGCCGGGGAAGAGGGTGCTTATGTTGAAGAAGCCCAGGAAAAGCTCTGCATGTGACCAGGAAGGAGAGAGGCCAGGGACTAGGAAAGAGCAGGCAGGGGCCAAAAGGGAAGTCAAATGTGGTGCACTGGGCATGCATCTTTCAGCCAGCCTGGCGAAGGTTCAAAATGAGCTCTGTAACCTCCTGGGTATGTGACCTGTGGTGTGTACTTAACCTTTCTGATCCTCGGCTCCTCGCCTCTAAAATTATGATAATAAGATTGCCTTCACAGTGCTGTCGTAAGGATTCAATGGCATCATGTACGTGAATCATTTAGCACGGTGCCTTAGATAAACTCAGTAAACAGATAGTGTTATGTCAAAAATTGTATTACCTATGTTGTTATTATTGTTATTAAAGTATGCTTCAAAAGTTGGCCCTGTGATAAAATACAAATAGACCCCAAAAGAGGTCTGTGAAATAAAGCCATTTGGAACTAAGGTGGCATGTAAGATAATATATTTAAGAGTGATTTCTATTTATTAATTCATTCATTTCACCAATATTTATTTCTCAACCACATTATTCCAGCCACTGTTCCAATCTTTTTTTTTTTTTTTTTTGGAGACAGGGTCTCACTCTGTCACCTATACTGGAGTGCAGTGGCACGATCTTGGCTCACCACAACCTCCACCTCCCAGGCTCAAACAATTCTCCTGCCTCAGCCTCCTGAGTAGCTGGGATTACAGGCATAAACCACTACCACTCAGCTAATTTTTGTATTCTTAATAGAGACGGAGGTTTCACCATGTTGGCCAGGCTGGTCTCGAACTCCTGACGTCAAATGATCCACCTGTCTCTGCTTCCCAAAGTGCTGGGATTACAGGCGTCAGCCACCATGCCCAGCCAGTTCCAGTCATTTCAGAGGGAAAAACAAATAAGCCAATAGTCTTTGCCTTCAAAAAGCACCTAGTCCACAAGGGAGACAGACACATAGATATATAATACGATAAAATATAGGAAATAAATTAAGCGTACTATGGTAACCTTAAGACATGGATGGTAACCTGGAAGCAAGCAGACTAGAACTGTGGGAGACACGGAAGCCTGCTTGGGGGAGGCATCAAATTTGACTTTCGTAAGATGAATAGACATTTGCCAGACTGTACAGCAAAGACAGAATGTTTCATTTAGAGACGGCCTCAGCAAAATTATCAAGGCATGAAACAGCATCATGTGTGAACAGCACAGAAACCACGTGAATGTGTGAGGCAGGTTGATTGTGGGAGATGAGGCTGGAGAATTACGGAGGAGAAGAATTACATATAGCATGTTGCAGGTGTGGGAAAAGGGGGTCAGAGGAAAACGGAGGCTAGAGATGAAGAAGCTGTTGGAACTAGTTGAACTGAGCCTGGAAGAAATGGGATGAGATGAGAGGTGATCAGGAGCAGGTGATTAGGTCTGGTCTTAGCAAAAGGAAGGGCACCTCATCATCTGAGAAGGTAGAGAAAGAGGCGAGTAAAGACGGGTGTAGATGAAGACAAGGTTATAGATAGCAGAAGACAGAAGGTTCACCTAGGAAGCCTCTAATTTTTGTGTACTTAGAAGCATGGTTATTTACTGAGATGAGGGGCGTAGCATGGACTGATTTGGAGGTTTGAGGAGAGGGTGAAAGTTCAGAAGAGTAGCTCAAGGATCTGAGCATCTATGAATGAATACGTCGTAGAGTTGTACACGGGCCCAGCGGAGGTTAAGACAACACATTCGTGGTGGCACAACTGGGTAATTTTTCTCTAGCCATGTTCAGTTTCCCAGGTGTAGGAAAAATAAGGGCAGGTGACGGGGTTGCTCCAGATGCAGTGAGAATAAAAAAGAAAGAAAGAAAGAAAGAGAAAGAAAGAAAGAGAGAGAGAGAGGAAAAGAAAGAAAGAAACTAACTCAAGAAAATTGAGTGTGCTTCTAAGAAAAGAGTTGAGATGGCCATATAGAAGACCCAGAGAAGACACAAAGGCAAGAGGTCAAGAGACAGTGGTGACATCAAGGATGACGGCATTGAAAGAACAAGCACGCCATAGGGAGGGAGGAAGAGACTTGAAAGGACAGGAGGTCACGGAGTAGGATATCAGTGTTGAAGTTCTCTGATACACAGCAGTTCTGGCTGGTGGCCAAGTCTGGGGTGTGGCTCTTGAAGTGGTAACTGCAGTGGAATGAAGGTAAAGTTCATTTTTATTTTAAAAAATAAAAAATTGTGAGGGCAGGTGTTGAAGAGGCAGGCTGTAGAGTTGCTGTGGACTGATCACAAGAGGTGGATGGGGGATGATGGTTATGATTCAAGTGCCAGCCTCCACCGAATGACTCAGATGGACAAAATCACAATGCCAGTGACAAAGGCAGAGAGGTGGTGCCATAGGCTTTAACTTCGAAGAGGAATGAGCTTTTTTGCCCAAGGGTGAAAAAGTAGTTCTGGAGCCATGAAACTGCTCTTCATCATGGTGACATAGCACAGAGAATCTCAGGCAATGGGACATAAGATTGGCGAGTTTAGATAGAGAAGGGAGAGAAGAGGAGGACCGGCCAGAGAGGACAGTAGACAGTGTGGAGAAGGTAACAGATGGGGGTGCGGAGAGTTCTCTAACACCTGGCCACAGTAGGTGTGGTCCCAATACTAGAAGCATAGGCATGGCATGGCGGCTTGTTAGAATGTAGCACCCACCCAGACCTACTGACTCAAAAGCAGCATTTTAGCAAGATCCCCTGGTAATGTGTGTGCCAATTTAAATTCTAGAAACACTCCTCTAAAAATAGGTAGGGTGATTACGGATGGGTAAGGGAAGAGTAAATACAAATTCTTTCCATTGATCCCAGCTCTCTCTGACCATGCTCATATGAGAAACTCAGCTTCTCCAAGGAATAATAGAAGGGTACTCTATTTCTCTCAGGATGTCAAAGCACCTTAGAAACATCCGTTTTAATTCTTTGCAGGCTTAATGAACTGTTTTCTGTCTCACATTCATTTATGCCAGGTGAGAGGGTGTCAGCAATCAAAACCTTGACTTCAGAGAGAGGCAGAAAAGGACAGAGAGAGAGAGAGAGAGAGAGAGAATGAGAACAACAAAAAGAAACTGCCTAAGGGCACATTGCTTTTACACAAGGAGTTGGTGGAAGAGCCAGGAGACAGAGCCAGGGCCCAACCTTCTGCACCACTATGTGTTCTGAGCATGGGACCACACTTCCTCTTCAGCCGGTCCCTCATGGCCAAAAAGCTGAGAGGAAACGATGCCAGGGAACCGGTAATTGTATAGCTTTTCCAGCATACTGCTCCAGTTCCACATAACGGGGCATGTCAAAACCTACTCTCCCATCTGAACACTCAGCAGTGACCAAATGGGCTGGAGGAAGTGAGAGAAATACCATGAAAATCCTGGGCTGCACCTCAGAGACTAATAAATAATTACTAATGGGAAAGAAAACAGAGGAAAGAGAAAGAGCAAAGGAGCAGGCAGGACAGGCGGAATGGATTCTGGCCCATGAGAGGGGAACAGATGCAAACAAAAAAATTTAACACACCAGGAGCAGTGACCCAAAGACAGCAAAAGAAAGAGAGTCAAGCTGGCTGGGGAGACTCGCTGTTCTCACATTTGATACGTCTGCTCACAACATGTTTCAGTGACTTATTGAAGCTCAGAATTGGGCTGTTAAATCATTCAGCATATGAGATTTGTCCTGAGTTAAATGGATTACTTCCCTTTGTAGGTTTTTGGATAGTGGCTTATTTTAAAGGGGAGAACTAGAGGGTCTCTGCTGAAATATTGATGTGAGGGAGATTTTAACCCAGGCATCAGAAATGACCGAATGGAGACACAGGGGCAGGTGGCATATTGTAATTTGTCTGCCTCTTAAATTATGTAGTGTATGTATCACAATATATTGAATTTAAAACCTGAAGTATGACATTCAGTAAATAATTTACACCGGCTCTTTCATTAAGTGTGAGCTGAGGCTTAGGCTAATGAAACCTGATTTTAGTTAGTGCCTCATTTAAATACAGATGCAGAAAAGGAAATTTCTTTAGTGCCACTAAGACAAGGCATGCTTGCTGTGTAGAAAACTTGAACTGAATCTTTCTCTCTCTCCCTCTCTGTCTCACACACACACACACACACACACACACACACACACACACACCTTCCCCAGGAGTAGCCCAGGATAAAAATGAATAATACATTAATTTTTAAAACATGAAGTTCATTCAGGCTTCTCCTGCCTAACAATTTCTTTAAAATATATAACTAAAAAGAGGATTGTTTCACTTGGTATATACCATTTTTTTTCTCACAGAAGATTCTGATCCTGAGAAATATGCCTGGGATTTTGGGGATGACTGTGACCCATTCAGTAAACATCTATAAAGCAACTCCTCTAAGTTGTTCTCTAGGTTCTACAGGGAACCCACAGGGAGATAAGTTTCTGTTCGTGATCTAGCTGAGGGAGACTATTCATGCAGGTTTGCAAATTGAAATAACCATGCAAAGCAACCATGCCTACAATGTTACAACCAATGTACATCTTGGCTTGCAGAAACTGGTCCCACCAAGATATGTTCCATGTTTTGCAGAAAGGATGAAACTTGGGACTGATATGGCCACCAATATCTGAGCTTGAAAACTTCGGTGGAAGTTAATGTCTCTTTGCACTCCTTCATGTGTTTGTTATCACAGTGCTACTTTTAATATCTTTCTTTGTGAGCTAAGTAGCCATCACGTTAGCATACTGCTTTTAAAATGTTGTAAAACCTTTAGAGAATATATTCAAAAGGAATGATTCCTCCCTCTCCCTCATTCTTTCCATATCATGTCTGAGATAATAAAGACATAAACAAAGTCAACTGGAACACCTTCCAAAAAGGTTGAATGGGAAAAAGATGGCTACTTGTCTGTAAAGCCCCAAGGTAAGCTATTTTTAAGTTGGTGCACCCAAAACCATGATTTTTCACCTTGATCTTGACTAATGTAATTAATTTAATATGCATTTGTAATAGAAAGAATATAAAATATGTACAGAGTTCTTTAGTCTTAAAATGAGACATGAATCTCTTAGGTCAGTAGCCACTGGGCATGAGCCTGTGCCAGGTGAGGTGTCAACTGTATACAACGGTAGGGGTTGAGAGACAGGAAAGACCCCTTCTGGCTGGAGTAATTAAGGAAAGTTTATGGAGGAAAAGGTATCTTGTATGAGTCTTGAAATAAGGGTAGGATTCTGTTAGTCAGGCATTGAGAGTGGAAGGCAACATACACAAAAATATAAAACCGTGAAAAGACAAGCGATAACTGGGAACATAAAGCTAGAAGATGTTGCATAGGGCACTGCAGGAAGAACAAGACTAGAAAAGTAGGTGGAAACTGATTTTCTGAGACCTGAAGCCAGACTGAGGAGGTGAAGGGTGAGTAGTGGAGTCCTTGGGAAAGTGTGAAGTAGAGAAGGACATAATTAAAATGTCACTTTCAGGAGATTGCTTCAATGTGGAGTGCAGAATTTGTTGGAGTAGGGAGGGACAGTGATTAGGGGAGTCTGTTAGGAGGCTTCTGCCATGCAGTTCAGGTATCTCTTAGATAAAAGTACATGAATTAATGTGGTAATAACGGAGGCTTGCCATTTCCAGCTTCTCGCCTCTAAGTCAATTCTCAACCTACTGTTATTTGACTTCCTCTGCTGAACACATTCTGGACAGAACTTATTATTTCCCTCTCAAATCTGCTCCTTCTCTTATATTCCATATCTCACTCATGACACCACCAATGTCAGCCGAACCAAATAATTTCAAGTCAATCCTGGCTCCTTTCTCTGCTGAACCCTTCTTCATCCAAATGACCTCTAGTCTTCCTTATCTAACCATATACACATTTCTTAAATCAGCCCCTCGTGACAAACCATGCTATCTCTATTTAGCTCATCCTACCATTGTACAATCACATTATCCTAGTGTGATCACAGTGATCAGATCTCTCTCATCCAGCCATGGTAAAATAGCGTAGTGGTTCAACATTTGAATTTCAACCCAAACTTCCTGGGTTCAAAGCCATATACTCACACCTTTAGCTCTATGGCCACGGACAGATTTAGCTCTTTTTGCTTCCATTTCTTTATCTGTAAGATGGTAAATCAGAGTAGGCTGTTAGGAGTTACATGAGCTAATATTTGCCTAGCACTTAGAATGACATCTGGCATGTCATAGGTGCTATATAATGTTTTCTATTTTAATTAAAATAGAAAATAATCCACCCTTCCACTAATGCATGATGTTAACCATGCCTCTCTTCCTTAACTCTGTAGGCTGGAATCTAAGCTGGGTAACAAAACGTAGAAACTTTTCCATGGTCTGACCCCTGCTTCATCCTCCCATCTCATCTCCTACCCTCGCCTCACAGTTTGTGTTTAGATAATATTGTGTCACATGAAGTTCTCCAAGTCCACCACACTCAACCATGCCTTCCTGGTTCTCCTCCGAAGAGTCTGCCTGCTTGCCTTGTCCCCATCCCCCTCTCCTCAGTACTGCTTACTCATTCCTGAAATGCCAGCTCAGGCATCAGGCATCATTTCCCCCCAGGCAGCCTTCCGTGAACGTGCAGGCCGGGTTAAGTGCCTCCTCTCTCCACCTACAAGATAATTTTATCACGGCACGAATAGTATAGTGCTGAAATCATCTTTATGATCCTGCTCCCAGATCTGACTGAAAACTTCTTGAGGGCAGGAGCTGTGTCATATTCACCTCTAAACCCCACAGAGACAAGAGCCATGCTAGACATATAGTAGGTTTTCATAAGCATTTATTGAAGTAAAGAAAATAATTCAACAGGGTTGGCAATTAACTAAATGTGGAAGTAGCAAGACAGAGGGAGATTGGAAGCTGATTCCAAAGTTTGAAGTCCAAGTTAACTCAAAGATCAAGGTCATATTTATAGAAACAGGGAAGTCAGAAGGAGGAACTTTTTTGAAAGGAAAGGAAAAAAAAAACCCTAATGAGTTAATTTTTAAACAAACTGAGTTGGAGATGCCAACAAAATATGCAGTTAGAAAATAGACCCTGTGGTACTAGAAAAAGGCCGTGGTAGGTTTGAGGGTCATTGAATTTGTCATAGTTTAGTAGATTATGCTGCCTAACAAACAGCCCCCAAATCTCAGTGGGTTATAATTGCAAAAGCCTATTGCTGCTCACACAGCATGTCTCCTGTGAGTCAGTTGCAGCTCTGCCTGGGGCTTTGTTAACTCTGTTCAGGTTTACGTGTGCATCTGGTGCGTACTGTTCTCATAGTGAAAGGTCAGAATAAGAAGGGACACGGAGCCAACCACACAAGCACATTTAAAGTCTTGCTCAGAAGTGACATACATAATTTCCACTCATATCCCATTGGCCAAAGCAAGTCCCATAGCCAAGCCTGAAGTCAGTGGAGTGAGGAGGCATGGTAACGACAAGGGAATAAAATATTATGAACAAATATCGCACTCAGCACAGTGAGGACGGAGGGAATTGTGTGTGTAGACCAGATCATACACTTAATTTCCCATTGCGGGGGAAAGAGAAACCAAAGAAGGAAGAAAGAAAATAGCATAAAGGTAATCAGAGAGGTAAAGAAGAGAACTAAAACTATAAGTTATAATGCAAGTTTTAAAAGACAGGAATCCGAGAGAAGAGAAGGTAGGTTCATTGTCCAACACTGCCAATGTCAATGAAAACAAGAACAGCATGTGACTATGAGGAGGAAAATGGAGCCACTTAAGAGAAAGGATTCATTAGCTATCCTGAGCCCATTTCTGCACAGATTTCTGGTCTTTCAGATACTTGGCTAATGTCGATTTAAAATAACTTTCGCTGGAGATTGTTTAGAATAGGTTTTCACAGCAATTCCTACAGCAGCTGAGTTGTGTGGATTAGAAGGTAAGCTAAGAGCACACAATACAGAACTTCTAACTCTCATCAAATATCAGGAGAATTGTCACAAGGGGCAAGAGACCCCTCCAGGCTCTGGGCTTGTCTAGAGAGGAAGATTACTGACAGTAGCTGCATGATCCTAGCCAACAGACTTGCTAAGAGGAGAATCTTTTACAACTGAGAAAGTAAAAAAATGGAGTGGTAGCCTTCATCAAAAATGGAGTTGTCGCCCTCATGAAACAATCATCTCAATGCCGTTGGAGTTTTCAAGCAGAATCTAGTCCACCATACAACAAACATGCGGAAAAGTGCATGCACTGGACAAAAAGACCAACAGATATATCTATACATCTATCTATCTATCTATCTATCTATCTATCTATCTATCTATCTATCTATCTATCTATCTATCATCAGACACACAAGGGAAGAATGCCATGTGATGACAGAGGCAGAGACTGAGGTGCTGCAGCTGCAAGCCAAGAAATGCCAAAAATTGCCAGCAAAGGGGCGGCACAAGAAGCTAGGAAGGGGAGGAAGAAGGTTTTTCCCTGATAGATTTCAGAGGGAGCAAAGCCCTTCCAACACCTTGATTACGGACTTCTAGCTCCAAAACTATAAAAGAATAAATTTCTGGGCCGGGTGCGGTGGCTCACGCCTGTAATCCCAGCACTTTGGGAGGCCGAGGCGGGCGGATCACGAGGTCAGGAGATCGAGACCATCCCGGCTAAAACGGTGAAACCCCGTCTCTACTAAAAATACAAAAAATTAGCCGGGCGTGGTGGCGGGCGCCTGTAGTCCCAGCTACTTGGGAGGCTGAGGCAGGAGAATGGCGTGAACCCGGGAGGCGGAGCTTGCAGTGAGCCGAGATCCCGCCACTGCACTCCAGCCTGGGCGACAGAGCGAGACTCCGTCTCAAAAAAAAAAAAAAAAAAAAGAAAAAAGAATAAATTTCTGATATTTTAAGCCACCCAGTTTGTGGTTCCTTCTTACAGTGGTCCTAGGAAACTAATACACTTAAATACATTTTGAAAAGCAATAAAGTAGCCTTTGAAATGTTTGCTGATGACTATTGTGAGCAATTTTAATTAGTAGTATTCTTTTTGTTGAAGTTAAAAATCTGTATCAGTATGAGAGATTGATCGAATTCCATTCTTTATGAAGATACAGGAAAATGTGTGTTCAGTTATGGCCACATTTACCTGCCAATGACTTGTTGGGAATTAAGAAACATTCCTCTAAGAATGCTCTTTGTGAAACCTACTTTTAAGAGTTGCTAGTCTTGTTTGCCTTGTAAATCATATTTGTATTAACAGTTTAAAATGTAGTTTGTGGTATATATTTTTGGAAACTCGAAGGAAACTCCCCTGAGATGTTTAGGAATTGTAACTGCTTTAAGGAGAGAGAGAATATAAAGATTCTCATTTGATTAAATAAACTACTTCCGCTTATTGTTTGAAATTCAGCCTCAGTGGAAACTTTATATTCCATTATTTGCTTTTTCCTGAGAAGTTCTTGGCACATTGTGAACTGGAGGGTACAACGCAAAGGACATTAGGCTTTCAGTCTGGGAATGCTTTAGAGACAGGTGACCAGTGCTTCAGAATGTCTGCTTGGAAGCTATGGTGGAATGTTTGTACAGGTATATAAGAGGGCACAGACAAGCACACCAGGATACAGAGAGACATCTGGATGTGGGAGCAACTCTTATGGCCATTTAATGCCCACCATCTTTATTTTATAGGAAAATACCAGGGATGTGCCCAAGGCCACTCATGCCAAGTATGGACTAGGCTAAATTCTACTAAACTCATCGAGTGCTTGCTAAGCACCCACTGTGTGCATCTGTTGGCCACAGTCATTTGGAAATTATGATATATCCAGAGCATGTGGTTATATAAATATTGTTCTTACAAATCTCTAGGTGAGACAACCAAGTACAAGGCAGGTACTGCTACTCCCCCAGTGTCACATAGCACGTAAATGGCAGAAGGGAGTCCGGAATCCAAGTCTCCTCCTATCAACCCAGTAACTTACACTTATGTTACAACTGGAAAAACTGTGAGCACCACAGTTCATTTTCACGTACGGTTACATACAAGACACAACAATTTGCCCTAATTGTATCCCCTCACTTTCAGAGGAGTAATCCTCAACCCAAACTCCAGTCTGCTGAAGATATTCTCATCAACAGCTTTGTTTTATTTTAAACCAAGGCTTTCTTTCCACTCTGAAATGCCACCAGCAATTATAGGACCAGAAGGAATATCCATTTCAGTTCAACTGTTGTCATAAAATATTAATCATCTCGGCAAGTAGCCATTTCCAAACTGCCTGTATTCTGCATCGATATTTTCTTTAGAAACATACCAATACCTGTGTATCCATAGAGAATACAAGAGTTTGCAAATATTTTGAGAGTTTAGAGGCTAATCACTGCTGAGTCATAAAAAAATTCTCTTCTTTGTTTTGATGCCAACAGTTGTGCCATTAAAATAAAAAAACTCATTGCTGCTCTATCCTTGGTAGCATGGAGACTCATGGATTTCCTTTGAATTTTTCAGCTCTACTCAGGAGCCCAGTTCAAGGGCCAATAAGCCCACCTAGTTGAAGTCCCTCATGAGGGTGCCCTGAAGGGAGAATTTGGCTGGAAAAAGGCCAAGGTTAGATAGAAAACCTTAGAATTAACTAACTAAGACGTAATCAACAATAATAAAAATAAAAGTTACTGGTTTTGGACACGTAATATATGCCAGGAACTTTCAATACATTATTACTCTCACAAACCAGGGATGCTTACAAATTATGGATGCTTCTCAACATTTTCCAGAAATCGATGCTGTGAGTTTTATGTTACTCAAGTTTGTCCAAGTAGAAAGTGGCAGACCTGAAGCTGAGAGACAGGAGTGTACAACTTAAAGATTCCATTCTTTCTTTCTATGCCATGTTGTTGCTCTCAAAATACTACCTCTCACTTATCGATTACTAATAGAATAGAAACTTATCTGCACTATCCTTACAGCACTATTCTCATAGCCTTCCTGCTTATAAATAGGCATCATCATCCTTTTGCAAACACAGAAGCTGAAGCTGAAGAAGTTCCATTTATGATAGTAAAAGAGGGTGCTAACCCACAGAGCCAGGTCTCTGGGCCACAAACCCTTCCAGCCAGGCTGCCTCTCAATGGATCAATGGAAGGGAAGCTCCATGCACTTAGGACAGAAATGTCAGTAGCTGGAGTTCAGCTAGTGACCTAAAACGCTGATCTTCTCTTTACAACCCCCAGATTCCCTCTAGAAATGCCCACTTTCCACCCTCATTTCCTTGAGCCCCACGATGGTGTTGACACCCCCAAGTTGGCTCTGTTATCAAACAAATTCCCTAAAAGATCATGGAGACCAAGGTCCTGAGAAATCATTGCATCCTGAATAGCCCATTAGTTAATTTTAATAAAGTGCTAAGAATTGTTCTTGGCACATGAAGACTTGTTATAATTATTCATCATCAGGGTACAGTGGCTCACGCCTGTAATCCCAACACTTTGGGAGGCTGAGGTGGGCAGATCACTTGAGTTCAGGAGTTCATGACCAGCCTGGCCAACATGGTGAAACCCCATCTCTACTAAAATACAATAACTAGCCAGACGTGACGGTGCGTGCCTGTAATCCCAGCTAAATTATAAAAAATTTTAAAAAAGAAAAATTAGTCATCATACTATTTATAACAACATTTCTGCATAGAATTGCCTACTGCCACATCAAGTCCACATGTTTCTTTTTCTCCTACCTCTTTCTTTAGAAATGCTACCTGGTAAGTGATCAAAGATCAAAGCTAACACTAGCAATAAGAGTTATTGTCATAATATATCCTCTGATGCGCTGCCTTGAGGAGAATCTAGCATCACTTTTTTGGTGTTTCTGTCAAAAATTCATAACTTCAGTCTAATCATGAGTAAAAAATATCAGATAAATCCAAACAGACATTCTTCGAAATAACTGAGCAGTACTCGTCACAAGTGAAAATATCATGAAAGAAAAGGAAAGATTAAAAAAACTGTCACGGATTGGGAAAAAAGGTGACATAACAACTAAATGGGATGTGGGATCCTAGACTAGATCCTGTAACATAAAGAGGATGTTCCTGGAAAAATTAGTACAATTCACAAAAACATATGTAGTTTAGTTAACATTGTACTGTGAAATTCAACTAAAGTTGACCTGAGGATGCCTTCATACTTTGAGGCCTTAGCAAATTGCAACCTAACTTGGTACATAAACTAACTGAAAGCCTAACTTAGTTATTATTTTGTAATAAATAGCTTTGTCTCAGCCAATCACAGGCTTCCAGTGATTATTAGTCCATGTTCAAATAAGGCAAGCACAGAACGGGAGTCAATCAAAGCTGTCTCTGTACCTCACTTCTGTTTTCTGTTCATAAAGTCTGCCTCCCCATGTTGTGAGGAGAGCTCTCTGAATGTTTTCTGGTTCTGAGGGCTGCCCAATTCGAGAGTTGTTCTCTGCTCAATTAAGTTCTGTTAAACTTAATTTTTCTAGTTTTTCTTTTAACAATACCAATGTTAATGGCCCTGTTTTGATCACTGTATTATGGTCATATAAGGAGTTAATATCAGAGGAAGTGGGGTAAAGGGCATCCAGGAATTCTTGTACTATTTTTGCAACTTTTCTGTAAATCTAAAATTATTTCAAAGTAAAAGACTTTTTTTTTTTTTTTTTTTTTTTTTGTTTGTTTGTTTGTTGGTTCGTTTTGTTTTGTTTTTTAAGTTTTGGTTGGTAAGTTGGGAGAAAGCTTGAAATCAGACTGAGGAGGTAAAACCAGTCTTGTTGGGTTGGAATCCCAGTTCAACCACTTTGACCTGTGTGGCCTCAAAGAAGTTCCCCAAACCTATCTAAGCTTGGGTTTCTCAATTGTCAAATGTGAACAATAATCGCTATCTCACAGGTTTGTCACAAGTGTAGACAGTAACACACGTAAAGTGTGTAGCATAGTGTTTGACATACAGTAAGTGTGCAAACTAGAAGCTATTGTCATCTTTAACCAATATATGTCATTTTTCCTCTGAGATGGTTATATTTTTAAAAATCCTCAATAGGGCATTGACTGGTAACAGTTCATTGTATTGCCTTTCTAGGAATATTTGCATTTTAATAAAATTAGTTTGATGCCATGAGAGAATTCAGTAGCAGATTGTATTTTCTAAAGGTGACATCAACAATATCTCCCATCGTACAATCTTTTCAGAAACTTTCCATTCCTCCATCAAAGGTAGAATCTATGTACCCTCCTCTGGTATATGCAAGATTTTGTAAATGCCTTGGCCAATAGAGCATGGTAGAAGTGGTGGCATGTGATTTCCAAGGATAGGTCTTTAAAATGACATACATTTTAGCCTGTTCTCTTGTGTTGCTCATTCTTGGGACATAGCCACCATGCTGTAATAAAATCTAAGCGGCTCTTTAATAAAAATAAATAGACAGGCATGGTGGCACGCACCTGTAATTTCAACTACTTGAGAGGCTGAAACAGGAAGATCACTTGAATTCAGGAGTTTGAGGCTATGTGATCAAAGTCACTGATCATGCCTCTGCATTGCAGCAGCTCATGGAGAGGTCCATGTGGCCTCTGACCATATCCCTAGCTGAGCTCCCAGGTGATAGCCAGCACCCACTGGCCAACCATTTGAATGAACTGTCTTGATAGCAAGCACATCATCCAGCTCCCAGTCAAGCCACTCAGGTAACACCACACAGAGAAGATACGGCCAGCCCCACTGCACCCTTCTCCACTTACAAATTTGTAAGCAAAATATATTATTGTTATTTTCACCCATTAAGCTTTTGGGTGGTTTATTAGACACATCTTTGTAACATATGATGACAGAAAATTCTCATAGAGAAGGGAGCAGGAATAGAAATGGGATTTTTAAAAATGTGGACAGATTTGAGAATTGGAGCTAGGAATGGGCTTGGGTAGACTTGAGAAATATTTGGTGGGCTTGAAGTCGGTTCATCCTTTCCACAATGCAAGAGAAGTAAAAAGTAGTTTTGTCCAGCAGGCTAGAAATGGGAACAAAGTGAGAATATCTAGATGGGGCCAATAGAGTAGGGCAGGGTCCTGGTGTGGATTCTCAGGGAAGATGGTGTCTAGAGTCAATATCAAAGTTAGTCCCCAGGGCTGGCCTACCGTAGTAGATGAAGATTGGGGTTTGAGGTGCCAATTGATCATGCTACTTTTTCCATCTTGGTTTAAATCAGTTGAGAACAGACCCAACGAGAATTCAAGTCCAGTATCAGTGTTTTGACCTCCAAATGACGGATTTCCTGTATTTTGCCTTTGAGAAAGACAGGGCTTGCGTTTAAGGGCAAAGGGGAGCTGCCCACTCCTTCACATCCTCATCTAGAACTCGCCCGCAGGAAGACCTGGGTTTGTGGAGCAGACACTGGGCAGACCATGGGGGTCACTCCCTGGCTCACACCCCAGGAAGGAGCCCCCAAAGTTTTAGGCCTATCTCTAAGAGGCCAGCCCCACCTGACCTGCACCAGGAGTGAGAATAAACACCTGGGAGCAGGGACCTGCCAGAGACAGGGCCAAAAACAAAGAGCCCAGTCCACGTGGAGAACTGACTCTGCCCCATCTCACCATCAACTATTAATATGTCATTCTTCATCCTGCAGAGGAGGAATTAGGAAAGAGACAAGAGAGAAAGGAGAAGCTTCCTCCCCATACTTTCTGAGGGGGTGAAGTGTCCTAGGTAGAGTCTGAGTCAAGGCTTTGGGTGACAAGAGCAGTTTCCTAATTAAGTGCAGGCATGTGTCTATGCAGCATAGTGGCCCTCAAAGTTCAGTGAGCATCAGAAACACCAGTGAGGCTTGCTAAAATAGGTTGCTGGACTGCACCCCATGAGTTGCCAATTCAGTAGATCCAGGTTTAGCCTGATAATTTTTTTTTTTTTAAGTCTGGGTCTCCCTCTGTCACCCAGGCTGGAATGCAGTGGCATGATCATAGCTTACTGTAGCCTCAAACTGCTGGGCACAAGCAATCCTCCCACCTCAGCCTCACGAGTAGCTGGGAATACAGGCATGAACCGTTATGCACAGCCAATTTTATTTGTTATTTTTTTTGTAAAGAAGAGGGTCTCACTATGTTGCCTAGGCTAGTCTCGAACTTCTAGTCTCAAATGATCTTCCCTTGTCGGCCTCCCAAAGTGCTGGGATTACAGGCGTGAGCCACTGTGCCTGGTTGAAAAATTGCATTTCTAACAAGTCCTAGGTGATGATGACACTGCTGGTCCAGAGCCATTGTACATTTTATAATTCAGAAGACATACACACAGCTTATCTTGTTTAATTCTCACATCATTCGTCATTGACAAATGAGGGAACTGTGGCTGATGAGGAATGAGGGTCTTATCTAAGCTCATACAACACTAAGCAAAAGACCTAGGCTTCAAATATGTCTTATGATGGCGACATGAAGATTCTTTTCACTGAACTATAGCTGTTTCCTGGAGTAAATGCAAAACATAGAGAGAAACCCAGGCATCTTATGGGCATTTAAGAAACAGAGGTGGTTATTTTGTATGCTCATCATTAAAAAAATTGGATTATTGTTAATTTTGCAATTCCTTTTGAAAAATTCCAAAATTTCTTGTAAATATCAAGAAAAAAAGAACAAGAAAAGCTTGCATGTTTGTTTGTTTTATGTCAACGTAGAGCAGCAGAGGTAGAAAGGGTTGAGTGCCCTTTAGGAACAACCATGGTTGTACTAGCAGCCACCCTATTGCCTAGAGACTGGGCGAAATCTGGCATCATTAGACTAAGGAGTTGCTGGCTATTGCTGATAATTCTTTTTCAAAAAATCATTCATTTCTTTAGAGATGAAAAGCCTTAGCCAAAACAAGTATATCTACAACAGTACTATTTCAAAAAGTATTAGGGAAGATACTTTGAGGATGATGAGAGCTTTATATTACCCTTCCTATTGATTCATTTGACTTGCACCTGTGATGCCAAACTCTCCATTAGTTTTTCCTAACCACTTAATTAACTTTTTGAAAAACCAGGACCAAAGACCAACCATTGAGAAGGACTCGTGTAGGTCATGATCTGATGAGGGCAATTTGCTATGCCTCCTTTTTTATGTTGCCAAAACGAGGACCAGAACTCTTGTGGACATTTCCAAAGATTCACACCAATATTATGATGTATCCTTATGTAGTTACCACAAGTATTTATATTTCCAAGTAGATCTTGATGCCTTACTTAGCACAACTGAACCTATTATCACAACTGTTTGTGACTTCTTGGTGACCTGGACTGTGAGGCAGCTGCTCCGGCCTCATGACCCCATTTTATGAACCAAAGTTAGTAGCATGCCTAGCCAGCAATTCCTCAGTTCTTGTGATGTGTGTGTGCATTTACGTGTGTATGTGTGTGTAAATGAAGGTAGAGGATTGAAAATACAAAAGAAATTTTTTAAAACAATTGATACTCTTCACTGAATAATAACATGCTTATAAAAAGTGCACAGATTATTTTTATTATTATTATTTTTTTGAGATGGAGTTTTGCTCTTGTTGCCCAGGCTGGAGTACAATGGCACAATCTCAGCTCACCACAACCTCCGCCTCCTGGGTTCAAGCGATTCTCCTGCCTCAGCCTCCCGAATAGCTGGGATTACAGGTGTGCACCATCACGCCCGGCTAATTTTGTATTTTTAGTAGAGATGGGGTTTCACCACATTGGCCAGGCTAGTTTCGAACCCCTGACCTCAGGTGATCTGCCCGCCTCGGCCTCCCAAAGTGCTGGGATTATGGACATGAGCCACCACACCCAGACAAAAAGTGCACAAATTATTAAATGCAGATGTAGATGAATTTTCACAAACTGAACACACTTGAGTAACTAGATAAATAAACAGAACATTACCAGCTCCATGGAAGTTCCTATTGTATTCCTTTCTTGTCACTACCCTGACCAAGAATAACCCCTATTTCTGACTTCTGACACTATATATGAATTTTAGACACATATACAAATGTATCATATAGTATACTCTTTTGTATCTGGCTTCTTTTGCTCACCATAATGTTTATGAAATATCCATAGTGTTACGTGTATTTGTATAATGTTGACTCTCACTGCTGTCTAGTGATCTATAAGTTTACCACAATTTGTTGATTCATTCTACTATCAATGATTACTCAAGTAATTTTCAGTTTGGAGATATAAATAGCACTGCTATAAATCTTTTAGTACAGGTTCACTGATGCTCATATGTATGTGTTCCTATTGCATATAAACCTGGGAGTGAAATTGCCAGGTCACAGGTTTGCATATGTTATGTTTAGTGCGTACTGTCAGTTTTGAAAAATAGCGGGCTCAATTTACATTACCCTACACACAGCATAAGAATTTTCTTTGCCCTACGTCCTTCCAACACTAGGTATTGCCAGAGGTTTTTATGTCAGCCATTCTGGTGAGGGTATTTGGTAACTTGTTTTGGTTTTAATTCACAGATGTTAGATATTTGGATATTGTCTTTGTTGAAGTGCCAGTGTAATCCTTTTGCCCATATTTCCATATCTTTCTTAGCTTAAAATCTCCTTCTGTCTTCTCTATTTTCTTTACTCCTTGGAGGACTATTAACTGCTTTCCATTAAAAACCCCAAATATCCAACAGCATGTAGACAAATACACTGTGGCATATTCATACACTAGCACACTATGCAACAATAAAAAATAAATGATCTCTGGGTACCCACAGCATACATAAAACTCAAAACCATCATGACAAGCCAAGTAGGCCAAATACAAAAGAATACATGTAATATTCTACTTGTATGACATTCTAAAACAGGCAGAACCAATGTAGAGTGACAACAGATCAGTGGTTTCCGTGAGTCAGGAGGCAGAGTTGACTGCAAAAAGGCGCGAGGGAACATTTTAATGTGATGGAAATGTCCTGTCTTGATTTCAGTAGTGGTTACATGGGTCTATCCATTTATTACAACTCCTTGAACTATATACTTAAAATGGATAATTTAATTGTATTAAATTATACCTCAATAAAGTTTATTTTAAAAGAAACCCTTTGGGAGGCTGAGGCGGACAGATCACCTGAGGTCGGGAGTTCGAGACCAGCCTGACCAACATGGAAAAACCCCGTCTCTACTAAAAATACAAAATTAGCTGGGCGTGGTGGTGCATGCCTGTAATCCTAGCTACTCGGGAGGCTGAGGCAGGAGAATCACTTGAACCCGGGAGGCAGAAGTTGCAGTGAGCCGAGGTCGTGCCATTGCACTCTAGCCTGGGCAACAAGACTGACACTCTGTCTCAAAAAACACAAAAAACAAAACACAAAACCCTTTACTGAGCCCTACCATGTGTAACCCATAAGATATGGTGAAATTAGGGCTTTTCATAGGCCACAGTGATCAGTCAAGATGCCCGTAGACCCATGTGTACTCCACCCAAGAATCCTATCTTTCTAGAAGGAAAGGCCGAGTTGCCAACACCCGTTGAAATAACTGTTTTTATTGAAGACATCACAAAAGGCTGGTTCTGGCTACCTTGGCCACCTCATACCCCACAAATGGTTTTGTTTCCGCTCACTTACGGCTGCCTGCCAGTCACCCAGTAAGCAAGCCAGCACACTTAACAAGCTGGCCCATCACCACATTTAAAATATACAACGCAAACGCAGGCATTTCCAAACCCTGTGCTGGGGAAAGAAACCTCCCCAGTGAGTTTTCCCAACATTTTACCTTTTAGAAGCCAAACTGCAGTCATTTTTCCCTTTGACTCTCAAGGGAAATCTGACAGGGACCACGTTTCAGAAAACTTGTCTCCCATAGAGCACCAGAGCTGCGGTATTTTAATAGCCTCTCTCAGCCCCTCCCCTGGGAACATATTATTATGTGATCATTAGTGATGGGCAAACCTCACTGGGTTTCCAGGTTTGAGTCTGTGCCAAAAGTTCAGAGTTCTTCTTTTCTTGACAACTCAAAATCTCCCCTATTTTTCCCTTTTATTTATTCATTTGTTTGTTTATGTGTGCTTTGCTTGGTTTCTTCCTATCTTACCACACTCTCCAGCCTTTTCTCCACTTTACACACAGAAGAAAGGAAGGAGATGGGGCAGAAAGCATGAGTTTCTTGCTGGTTTCTCTCCATTGAGGTGCACTGGATGAAACAGAATTGTAATCAGGCCCCAATTACTGGCACAACCAGAAAAGAGTGACTAGACACCTGCTATACGCCCAGGACCACAATTCCGGGGGTGCCCAGTGAGTTTGTAGGTGAGTAAAGGATAAAGGCTTTTCTTAGAAGGGTTCCCATTCCAACTGGGATGCTGGGACAAACAGGCCAATAGATGTGTTGACGAAGGCATGCAGACATTGCTCCACCAATATACTTTAAGGACTAAGCAGTCAAGTTTACAGGAAGACTGAATGCGGTGCATTAAGAAGTTGTAAAACAAACGTGAACATTCTTCATTTGTGGCGACAATTGCTGTTTCTGGAATACAAGAATAAGGCATTGAATTCATTATATTGAAATTCAAACACTCCAACTGAAGATTCCTGTCTATATTTTCCCCTCTAGAAAATGGGAGCACTAATATTTATTCCATGAGCTATATTGTTGGTTATGGAGCTAAGTGGAGTACTGAATTTATAAGTTAGGGATTACATTCAATTCAAATCCATTGAGCCTTGGCCACAAGGCTGACACTCAGGCCTGTGTTTGTAAACTGGACCCACTAGCCAGGGATTCATAGGGTCATGGGGACAGTGGGGACACATAGTCTCAAGCCCTTCCCATCTTCCATTAGAGGAATCCCAGAATACAACGTGTCCCATGACCTTGTAGAAGGCTGGGAATGTCCAGGTCAGAGGCAACAGCTGGCCTAGGAGGGCTGCCAGAATTTCCGGGACACTGATGCATTCAGAATAGGAGAAAAGGGAACATTGGAGGGGGTGCCTGGCAGGGGGGAAAGGGAGAGGAAAGCAGAGGGAGCTCAGAACTGATAAATTCAGATTTGTGTGTTTCACTCAGCCTGAAAACACCAGTGAATCACTTATGCTAATTCGTCTTTTCTCTTTAACACATTTTCTCCAGTTTGTCTGAAACTATACTGTGTCTACTATGAATAATTTCACACAGTTACAACACAAAATTTGTTTTTCTGCCCAAAAAGCAGTCACTTGTTCTTGGACCAGATTCTCCCAATGTGTCCTAAATCAGGGAGATCATTTCTGCCACGGTTAAGGCCTTCCCACTGTTTTCTGTGAGGCTGCACTTCTTAACATACCTGTTCCTTACAGAAATTTGCTAACAGACTAAGCAGATTTGTGTCCTAATCATTTTTTTGTTTTCTTTACAGAACATTTTGATTCTCCCTTAACCTTTATCATATTGATTGCTGTTGGTAGACAGTCTTGGGGCAGAAAAAAAAATGTGTTCAGAATACTGTAATTTATGAGTATTGTCATTTTATGATTGCATTGATTTTTATTTTAAAAGTGGTTTGCAAACTGAAAATTGACAGAAGGTAGAAATGCATAGAATCGATAATGATATCAGAAATGCACAAAATATCTAAAACAAGGAAGGTAACTAGATTTCATCTCAGGTGCCAACCCCATCAATTAGTAGTGACTGCTGGCAATGTTGTTCTAAGACGGAACCTGAGGCCACTTCCAGCCTTAGCAGGAAAAAGGGCCAGGAGTTGATTAGTAATGTCTGCCATTGCGGTGCCTTTATGGTGAGTGGG